>NC_000012.12:70793461-70944976 GCF_000001405.40 Homo sapiens | reverse complement strand
ACACCCACCCTGTGGTATTGTTCCTAATATCCAGTGGGGGAGAGGATGATATTACTCCCAATATTACAGAAGGTGCACACACCCTCTGTGATATTGATCTTAATATCCAGTGGGGGAGAGGATGATATTACTCTCAATATCGCAGGGGGTTTACACCCTTCCTATGATATTGTTTCTAATATCCAGGGAAGGAGAAAAATTATATTAATCCCAATGTCCCATGGGGTGTACACCCCCCCGTGCCATTGTTTCTAATATCCAGGGAAAGAGTGGATGATATTACTTCCTATATCACAGGGAGTGTACACCACCCCTATGATATTGTTCAAACTGTCCATGGAAGGAGGGTATGATATTACTCTCAATATCACAGGGTGTGTACATCTCCCTTGTGATAGCGTTCCTAATATTTAGGGGGAAAGAGAATAATATTACTTCCAATATCACAGTGTGTGTACAGCCCCCTGTGATACTTATATCCAAGGAGGAAGAGGATGATATTACTCTCAATATCTTAGGGGTGTATACCCACGCACTGAAGTTTTTTTTTTAATATTCAGGGGAAAAGAGAATTATATTACTCTCAATATTGGAGGGGGTGTACACCCACCGTGTTATTGTTCCTAATATCCAAGGGGAGAGAGGATGGCATTACTTCCCATATCGCAGGAAGTGTACAACCCCCTGTGATATTATTCCTAATATCCAAAGAGGAAGAGGATGATATTACTCCCACTATCGCAGGGTGTGTACACCCCCCCTCCGCGATATTGTTCCTAATATCCAGGGGGTGAGAGGATAACATTACTCTCTATATTGCAGTGAGTGTACACCGTTTCTGTGACATTGTTTTTAATATCCAGGGGTCAGAGAATGATATTACTCCCAATATTGCAGGGCTTGTACACCTCCCCTGTGATATTGTTTCTAATATCCGGCGGGGTAGATGATATTACATTCAATATTGCAGGTAGTGTACATGTCCTATGTGATATTGTTCCTAATATCGATGGGAAGACAGGATGATGTTATTTTCAATATCGCCGGTCCTGTACACCATCCCTGTGATATTATTCCTAATATCCAGTGGGGAGACGATGATATTACTTCCATATCGCAGGAGGTGTATATCTTCCGGTGATATTGTTCCTAATACCACGGGAGGAGAAAATGATATTACTCAAAATATGGTAGTGGGTGTACAGTCCCTCTTTGATATTGTTCCTAATATTCAGGTGTGGAAAGGATGATATTTTGCAATATCACAGGAGCTGTACACTCACCCTGTGATATTGTTCCTAATATCCACGGGCAAAGAGAATATTACTCCAAACATCTCATTAAGTGTACATCCAACCTGTGATGTGGTTCCTAATATCAAGGAGGGGAAAGGATAATATTACGTGCAATATCGCAGGGGGTGTCCACCCCCACTGTGATATTGTTCCTAATAGCCAAGGGACAGAGAATAATATTACTTACAATATTGCAGAGGGTGTACACTCGCCAGTGATATAGTTCCTAATATCCAGGAAATAAGAAGATGATATTACTCCCAATACCACAGAATGTGTACAACCCCTGTTTTCTTTAATATCCGAAAAGAAAGAGGATGATATCACTCCCAATATCGCTAAGGTTGTACACCCCGTCTGTTACATTGTTCCTATACCCAGAATGCAAGAGGATGATATTACTCCCAATATTGCAGGGGGGTGTACATATCCCTGAGATATTGTTTCTAATATGCAGGGGAGTAGAGGATTTTGTTACATCCAATATCACAGGCAGTGGACACGCCCCCTGTAATATTGTTCCTAATATCCTTGGGGGGAACAGGATGACATTACTCCCAGTATCGCAGGGAGTGTACATCCCACTTGTGATATTGTTCCTAATTTCCAGGAAGGGAGAGAATAATATTACTTTCAACATCTCAGGGGGTGTAGACCCCTCCTGTGATATTGTTCCAAATATCCATGAAGGGGGGATGATATTACTCCCAATATCGCAGGGGGTGTACACCTTTTCTGTGATATTGTTTCTAATGTCAAGGGGTGAGATGATAATATTACTTCCAAAATCGCAGGGAGTGTACCACCCCCCGTGATATCGTTCCTAATATCCAAATGGGTCAGGCTGATATTGCTCTCTATAAGACAGAAGGTATACACCCACCCTGTGATATTGTTCCTAATATCCAGAGGGGGAGAGGATGATATTATGGCCAATATCATAGACAGTGTACACCCCCGCTGTGATATTGTTCCTAATATCCAGAGGCTGATATTACTCCCAATATCTTAGAAAGTTTACACCACCCCTGTGATATTGTTTTTAATATTTAGGGAATAAGAGGATGATATTACTCCCAATATTGCAGGGGGTATACAAACGCCCTGCTTTTTTCTTTTTTTAATACCCAGAGGGTGATAGGATGATATTACTCCCAATATTGCAGAGGGTGTACACCCCTCATGTGATTTTTTTTAATATTCAGGGAGAAAGAAGATATTACTCTCAATATTGCAGGGGGAGTACACCGCTTTGTGATATTGTTCCTAATATCCAGGGGTGGAGAAGATGATATTACTCCCAATATCGCAGGGAATGTACACCGCCACCCCCTGTGATATCGTTCCTAATATTCAGGGTTGGGAGGATAATATTACTTCTCATACACAAGGGGTGTACACCCACTCCCCTTGATATGGTTCCTACTATCCAGAGCAGAAAAAGATGATATTACTCCCAATATCACAGAAGGTGTACACCCCGCCTTAATACTATTTTTAATATTTAGAAGGAGAGGTGATGATATGACTCCCAATATTTCAGATGGTGTACGCCCCTTCCATGATATTGTTCTTACTTTCCAGTGGGGAGAAGATGAAATTACTCCCAGTATCTCAGGGGGTGTACACCCCTCTGTGATATTTTTCTAATATTCAGGGGCAGAGGGGATGATATTACTCCCAGTATCACAGGGGGTATACAGCACCTGTGATGTTGTTTCCGATATCCAGGTGGGGAGAGAATTCTATTACTCAAAACATCACAGGGGTGTGCACCCCTCCTGTAATATTGCTCCTAATATCCAGGTTGAAAGAAGATGACATTACTCCCAATGTCACACTGTGTAGACACCCCCCCCACTGTGATATTGTTCCTAATATCCAGGAAAAGAGAAGATGATATTACTCCCAATATATCAGGGAACGTACACCGCCCCCCTTTGATATTGTTCCTAATATACTAGGGGAAAGAAAATGATATTACTACCAATAACGCATGGGGTGTACACCTCCCCTGTGATATTGTTCCTAACATCCAGGTGGGGGAGAGAAGATATTAAACTTAATTTCATAGGAAATGTACACCCTCAGGTGCACAATATCTCCTCCCTGGAGAGGATGATGTTACTTTCAATATTGCATGGAGTGTACACCCACTCTGTGACAATCTTCCTAATATTCTTGGGAGGAGAGAATATTACTCCCAATACCGCATGGGGTGTACAGCCACCCTGTGATATTGTTTCTAATATCCAGGGGTAAAGAGTATAATATCGCCGGGGTGTACACTCCCCCCGTGATATTGTTTCTAATATCCAGGTGGCTCCAGGATGATATTACTCCCAGTATCATAGGAAGTATACACCCGCGCTGTGATTATTTCTGAATTTCCAAGCGAGGAGAGATTGATATTACTCCCAAAACCTCAGGGGATGTTCACCCCATCAGTATTATAGTTTTTAGTATCCAGGGGCTCAGAGGAAGATATTACTCCCAATATCGCAGTAGGTGTACAACCCCTGTGATTTTTTTTTTAATATCCAAGGAGGGAAAGGATGATATTACTCCCAATGTCGCTGGAAGTGTACATCTCCTCTGTGATATTGTTCCTAATATCCAGAGACTGAGAGGATGTTATTACCCCAAATATTGCACGGGATGTACATCCCCTATGATATTCCTAATATGCAAGGAGAGAGAGGATGATATTACTCCCAATATCACAGGAGTATACACTACCTCTGGGATATTGTTCCTAATATGCAGAGAGGGGAAAAATTTTGTTACATTCAATTTTCGTTGGGGGTGGACACCCTCCATGTGATATTACTCCTAATATCTAGGGAGGTCAGGATGACATTACTCCCAATATTGCAGGGACTGTACAGCCCACCTGTGATACTGTTCCTAATATCCAAGGGGGGAGAGGATGAACTTACTCCCAGTATCGCAGGGGGTATACATCGCTCCTGTAATATTGTTTCTAATATTCTGGCTGATGGAGGATGATATTACTCCAAATATCTTAGGCGTGCACGCGCCCTGCATAATGTTGTTTCTAATATCCAGAAGGGGAGAGGATTATATTACTCCCAATATCGAAAGGAGTGTACACCCACCCTGTCATATTGTTTTTTGATATCCAGGGGTGGAAAGGATGATTTTACTCTCAATATCGCAGGGGTGTATACCCTCTCCGTGATATTGTCCCTAATATCCAACTGGGGAGAGGATAATATTGATCCCAATATTTCAAGGGGTGTACACCTTCCCTGTGATATTGTTCCTAATATCCGGGGGGGGATGGACAGAGTGATATTACTCCCAATATCTCAGGGATGTACAAACCCCTGTGATCTTGTTCCTAATAACCAGGTGAAGTAAAGGATTTTACTCACAAATTTCTCAGGGGGTGTACACCCCCGCTGGGATATTGTTTCTAATATCCTTGTAGGTAGAAGATGATATTACTACAAATGTCTCAGGGGGTGTACACACCCGCTGTGATATGGTTTCTAATATACAGGGAGAAAGAGGATGATATTATTCTCAATATTGCAGGTGATGTAAACCCTGCCTGTGATATTGTTTCTTATATCCAGGCAGGGAGAGGGTGATATTACTGCCAATATCACAGGGAGTGTATACCCACCCTGTGGTATTGTTTCTCATATCCAGTGGGGTAGAGAATGCCATTACTCCCAATATTCCAGGGGCTGTACATCTCCCCTGTGATATTGTTTCTAATATCCATAAGGGAGAGGATGATATTACTCTCAATATTGCAGGGGGTGTATACCCCCTCTATGACATTGCTCATAATATCCAGTGGGGGGAAAGATAATATTACTCCCAATGTCACAAATGGTGTACACAATCCCCCCTGTGATATTGTTCCTAATATCCAGGGCGGGAGAGGATGATATTACTCCCAAAATCACAGGGAATATACACACCCTCTGTGATATTTTTCCTAATATCCAGGGGGTAGAGGTTGATATTACTCTAAATATCGCCGAAGGGGTAGACCTCCCCTGTAACATTGTTTCTAATATCCAAAAGGAGAGAGAATTATATTACTCCCAATATCCCAGGGGGTGTACACCGCCCCACGCCGTAATATTATTTTCAATAACCAGGTGAAGAGTGGATATTACTCCAAATATCTCAGGGGGTGTACAACCCCATGTATATTGTTCGTAATATCCAGGGGGGAGAGGATGTTTTATTTCCAATATCGCAGGGGGTGTACACCCCTCTGTTATATTGTTCCTAACATTCAAGAAGGGAAAGGATGATCTTACTTGCAATATCACAGGGGGTGTTCATCCCCCTTGTTATATTGCTTCTATTATTCAGTGGGGAAGAGGTCGATATTACTCCCAATATTGCAGGAGATGTACACCCCCGCTGTGGTATTGTTACTAATATCTAGGAGGGGAGAGGGTGATATTACTCCCCATATCGTGAAAAGTGAACACTCCCCTGTTATCTAGTTCTTAATATGCAGGAGGGGTGGGGGTGACATTACTCCCCATATCAGGGTGTGTGTACAACCCCCTGTGATCTGGTTAGTAATATCCATGAGGGGAGAGGATGATATTATACCCAATATTGCACGGAGTGCTCACCCCTTTTATGATATCGTTCGTAATATCCAAGAAGGGAGAGGATGCTATTATTCCCAATATTGCAGGAAGTGTAACCCCCTCTGGGATATTGTTCCTAATATCAAGTGGGGGGGAGTATGATATTATTTCCAATATCACAGGAAGTGTACAACGCCCTGATATATTATTTCTAATATCCACATGGGGAGAGAATCATATTACTTTCAATATCACAGTGGGTGTACACCTCCCATGTGATACTTTTTCTAATATCCAGGAGGAAAGAGGGTGATATTACTCCCAATATCGCAGGTGCTGTACACCACCCATGTGATATTGTACCTAACATCCATGCGAAAAAGGATAATATTACTCTCAATATCGCAGGAAATGTATACTCCCTATGTGATATTGTTCCTAATATTTAAGGGAGGAGAGTATAACTCCCATTATCGCAGGGGTGTTCACCTCCCATGTGATATTTATTGTCCCTAATATCCAGGGGGCAGGAAGAATATTACTCCCAATATTGCAGGGAGTGTATACCTTCCCTGTGTTATTGTTCCCAATATCCAGGTAAGAGGAGGATGATATTACTCCCAGTATCACAGGGGGTCTACACCCCTTCTGTGATATTGTTTTTAATATCCATGAAAGAGATTATGATACTACACCTCATATCACAGGTGGTGAACACCTCCTCTGTGGTATTGTTCCTAATATCAATGAAGGGAGAGGATATTATTCCCAATTTTGCAGGAAGTGTGATATCAAAGGGGGGGTGTACAGTCCCTCATATATATTGGGAATAATATCCTATTCTCCTCCCCTGGATATTAGGAACAATATCACAGAAGGGGCCTCTACCCAGTGCGATATTGTGAGTAGTATCATCTCCTCTCAACCTGGATATTGGGAACAATATTACAAGAGGGGTCTACAACCCCGTGATATTTTGAGAAATATCATTCTCTCCATACCTGGATATTAGAAACAATATCACAGGGGTTGTACACCCCCTGCGATTTTGGGAGTAATATCATCCTCCGACCCCTGAATATTAGAAAAATATCACAGGGGGGTGTACACCACCTGTGATATTAGAAGTAATATCATCCTCTCCACCTTTGAATATTATGAAAAATATTACAGAAGGGTGGGCAGCCCCTGTGATACTGGGAGTAATGTCACCCTCTCCCCTACTATTTCTCCACATCCTCTCCAGCATCTGTTGTTTCCTGACTTTTTAATGATCGCCATTCTATTTAGCGTGAGATGGTATCTCATTATGGTTTTTATTTGCGTTTCTCTAATGACCAGTGATAATGAGCTTTTTTCTTCATATGTTTGTTGGCTGCATGAATGTCTTCTTTTGAGAAGTGTCTGTTCATATCCTTTGCCCACTTTTCGATGGGGTTGTTTGTTTTTTTCTCATAAATGTGTTTAAGTTCTTTGTAGATTCTGGATATTAGCCCTTTGTCAGATGGATAGATTGCAAAAATTTTCTCCCGTCCTGCAGGTTGCCTGTTCAGTCTGATGATAGTTTCTTTTGCTGTGCAGAAGCTCTTTAGTTTAATTAGATCCCAACTGACAATTTTGGCTTTTGTTGCCATTGCTTTTGGTGTTTTATTCCTCCCCTTTCTCCAGAAGAAAAAACAAATTATGTTATCCTCCAGCTATCACAATAGTTCTTTCCTTTCATTCACAGTCAAGTTGTATAAATGAAATGTATCTATGAATTTTGTGCATAATATTAAGGTAGTTGAAATGAAATGGTATAAAAAAATCAGTTATCAGGAAATACTGCGACCTGTCTCTAGAGAATTTTCTGAACTTTGTCCTATTTACCTGAGTTTCAGGAAGAGAATACCTTTATACTCCTCTTTTGACAATAATTCTGGTGTAGAATGAGAGAAAAAAGAGAAATATCCACACATCATTGGTATCTTATCAGTATCATTGTGTTTTCTACTTCCAGTTAAATTTTATTGGATTGTGGTTTTCTAAAACTTGGTAAAACTTTATACCAGAAAAATCCCAGAGTATCATAGGATGAAACCAACAAAGCATCGAAGATCTCCAATTTCAAGGATTTCAAATGTTGAGCCAAAAATCGTTAATACAAATATCAAAATGAAAATTTTTTGTTTACTCATTGCCAAGTTATTTAACCAAAACTCAATAGAAAGCTTTCAGCAAAAATCTTCTTCAAGCAATGTCTGACAAGAGGAGCAAATGTCTGCCTGTGAAGCACTCCTAAGTGACCTGCATATTCCTTTCTTGCATACATCAAATTACCAGTGGCTCCCAATGATGGTTACCAAGCAAAAGGGATTCCCTGCCAAATATCCTGGAAGCCATACTATGAAACCAGGTTTTAGAGAAAAGAAAAGCTTCTTATTGCAAGTCAGCTAGCAAGGAGACAGGAGTACAGCTCAGATCTGTCTCCCTGTGCTGGCTTGATGGGAGTAATTTCATTAGAAAACATTTAGTGGGTGGATTCTGAGATTAGTAGGTGACTGGTGGAAGGAAAGGAGAGGTCTGGAACATCTCTGGGAATGCACAGTCATCTCTTTTTGCTACCTCATGGATTGTATGTGTAAATTCAAGTGGAGTTAGTATAAAATATGCGGTGTGAATTCAGGCTGTGATGTCAGCAAGCTCATTCTGCATAAACTCCAGTTGGCCATATTGGTTCCAAATGATTTCAGCCAGTTTTATTCTCTTACAAGTGGAGGGAGTGTCTGTGTGTCAGCAAGTTGTTTCTTTTTTTATCTGCCATCCTGCAAACTCGAGGATTGGTTAGTCATCAGTGTCTTTAACTCTTTGGAGCACGGTTTCATGACCATGTATAATAAGCTTGAAGGCAGAGCTGATAATACTTTTGATGTAAGAGGATTACACTGCTTTGAAAAATCCTTATGAGAGTAGGGTGACATTGTTGTTAATCCATGTCTTCTTGCTTATTGGGGCAAGTCTTAGTGATAAGTAGCACACATATTTATGAAATAGCTGATCAAAAAAAAAATGGTGTGCTTCTGGTGGTAGAACAGAGAAAAATAAACTGGCCAGGATACACATTGAGTGAAGGGTATCAATTAATCATGTTCTTTATCGACCAAAAGAAAACAACGCTTCTGGTACGTTTTCTAAGCATGAAATTCAATCTATACTAAAAAAAAAAAATAAAGCAGAGATGTGCTTTATTTGGCTGTGACATCAGCAAGCAAAATTATTGAGGAAATACAATTTATTGTTGACCTTCTCTATCCCCCAAATTAACCTTCACAGTTATCCAGTCTAGAGTTTGAAAAGGACTTTGACTTCTTCCAGCCAAGCAAACGTAACTATGATTGCAGTTGCAACTAATTTTGAGAAGCCATTTTTGGCCTATTAAATAAGTAGAACTAGAAGTAGAACCTATTAAATAACTAGATTCGCTTTCACAGATCTGTTTGATGTATTTACAGAGCTCTTGAGGACAATTCACGAAAAAAATCATGGTCCTGATTCAGCTTCCTGATACTGAGAAAACTGTACCTAACTTCTTGCTAGTGGTTATGTAACAATGCCCTGTTGACAATATGAGATTACCAGGGTGATCTCACTAAGTTGCATTTTATATATTACATTTTTGTAGAACAACATGTGGATACAAGAAAAATACCTCATTTTTAGATTATAGAGGGTTTTTTAAGCAAAAGTTATAATCACCAACAGCATTATCATTGTTATTGTTATTGCTCACTGCCTGATGTATTAGAAGCCAATATGTCACCAGGATTTTAAGAAAAGAAAAGCTTTGTATTGCTAGTTGACTGACAAAGAGACAAGAGTCCAGCTCAAACCTGTCTCTTTGTGTTGGCTTTATGGCTGTAATTTTATTAGAAAAGGTTTACAGGGTGAATTCTGGGATTAGTAGGTGATTTGGCAGAAGGAAAGGTGAGGTCTGGAAAGTCATAAGAAATGTGCAGTTACCTCTTCATCCTTCTTCATAGGACCTTTGTGGAAATTTGGAGGAAGTTGGTATAAAACAAACTGGAAGTTTAGGCTGTAACATCAGCAAGCTCATTCTGTGTAAACTCCAATCGGTCATATCGGTTCCAACCAATTTCAGCTAGTTTAGTTATCTTACAGGCAGAGAGTTTTAGCATTTTAGCAAGTTGGGTTTTTATAATCTGCTATGCTGCAGGCTCAAGAACTGTTGATAGTTACTGGCTTCTTTAACTCTTTGGAATGCTGTTTCATTTGTATCTTTTCTACCAAGTGTCAATGGCTGTTACGCCAAGTACATACAATGCTACTGCTTCAGAGTGTTCCAGAATGAAGAACCACATAATAAAGAAGGCAAGGATAGTACTCTTATTCTGATGAAATGGTGGGCTAAACAAACTTCTCCTTAAGTTTTCCAGACAAAAATACCTAGAAGTGATACATAAATTATGACAGTTACGTTTAAAGTATAGTCAAATTCAAAATAAATAATGCAATATCCCTACGTGACAAAAAGTCATCAGAGAAATGAAAGTCAGGAAAATAAACACAAATTGGCACAGAGGCAGGGAGAAGAGGTGTAGAATAGTGGAATAGATGGTAGTGGTGGTACAGAGTAGGGGAAAATTAGGGAGGTTACCATATTGTGTAATAGCTAGGGTCCTGGGTTTTAATTTTCAACAGACACAGATCATAAACCTTAAGTAAAATGGGGGAAAATGAAAGACCTCTACATATATTCGGAAGCATCAAAGGATTGACATAAATAGAAACAAAAAATTCTGAGTTAAGATTCAGGTTTGCACAATAGAAGCCAATGCTTTCACAGATACAAACCAAAAACACTAAACAAAAGATACCAAAAAATGAACTTGGTACTGGAAAGAAAAGTAGGTAGACTGTATTATAGAGGAGAGGTGGCATTTTGAATGGAATGGCATAGAATGAGTTACTCATTTTTGTGGCATTTAGCTAGAGGGCATGCCAGAGTTAGCACATGGTAGTATAGCTCAACTGCATTAAGAAAAAGGCCGGGCACGGTGGCTCACGCCTGTAATCCCAGCACTTTGGGAAGCCGAGGTGGGCGGATCACGAGGTCAGGAGATTGAGACCATCCTGGCTAACATGGTGAAACCCCGTCTCTACTAAAAATATAAAAAATTAGCCGGGCATGGTGGTGGGCAGCTACTCGGGAGGCTGAGGCAGGAGAATGTCGTGAACCCGGAAGTCGGAGGTTGCAGTGAGCCGAGATCGCGCCACTGCACTCTAGCCTGGGCACAGAGCGAGACTTCGTCTCAAAAAAAAAAAAAAAAAGAAAGAAAGAAAGAAAGAAACCTGCAGCTCTTCTGAAACAAAGAACTAGGGAATGTCATTTGGGGAAACTTTTACTGAAAATCAAGAAAGGACCCCATAAAAGCGAAAGGAAGAAAAACAGGGGGCCCAAACAATATATATAAATTCTGCCCAAAAATCTGTCTAAAAAACAAACCACAATGGGTGGAAACAGATTCCAGCTAAGTATAATGGACCTCTCTAATTCTATGTAAGAACCTGTAAAAGGCCCATGCTGATCGTATAGCTATACGTTCATTTTACATACAGCAAAAATTTCCTTTATAAATGAAAAGGAAGTAAGAACATTCTTGGATAAAAGGAAACTGTGAGAATTAATTATCAACACACTTGCTCTAAAAGAAATGCGAAAGGACATTTATTGGGGTAAAGGAAAATGACGTCAGAAGTTAATGTGAGACATTAAGAATGAGGGACAAAGACAAATAGTTTATATCTGGGTAAATATAAAGGACCATATTCTCTTAAGTTATCCAAAATATGTATGAATGTTGAAAGCAAATTTATCACATTGTCTGATGGGTTTTCAATGTATGTAGATATAATATATTTGAGAATTAGGACAGGATTAAGGAATCTATATGGATGTAATTGTAAGTCATCTACATTTTACTTAAAGTAACAAAATAATAATTCTAAGTAGACTGTGAAAGAGGTATGCATATTTCACTCCCTAGGACAACCACTAAAGAAATGATACAAAGAGATCATATATAGCCGAAAAGTCGAGATAAATTTAAATGAAATATTAAAAATAAACTTAATAATACAAAAGAAGGAAGGGAATGAGGCACAGAGGAAACACAAAAAGAGAGGATGAACAGAAATAAAATAATAAAATGATAGTGTTATGTGCAATCATATCAATATTTATATTAAATGTAAATAGTGTGAACAAAGCAGTCAAAACATAGAAATTATCAGATTGTATCTTAAAATTCTTTTTAAAGACCAGACTATATGTTGCCCACAAGAAACCCACAATAAAAATAAAGACATCGATAGGTTCAAAGAAAGAAAAAAGAAACAAATAACAGAAAGATATGTGGAAAATTCTCAAATATTTGAAAATTAAACAACATATCCTAAACAACCTATAAGTTGAAGAGAATATTATGTAAAAAGTTTGAAATTAATTTGAATTGAGTGAAAACACAAATTACAAATTGTTGGAAAACAACTGAAGCAATGATTGTATAGAAACTTATAGCACTACATGCTTATTTTTTTAAAAAATAATCATGTATCAAGAATCATGAATCAAGAATCTAGGCTTCTACCTTAAGAAACTAGAAAAAAGGAATAAGTTAAATAAAAAACAAACAGAAAAAGGGTTCTAATAAAAACAAAAGCAGGAATGTTTGAAATAAAAAAGAATAGAGAAAAATCAATAAAACCAAAATCCTGTTTTTAAAAAAGATACACAAACCTGAAAAAAAACTCTGTAGAGATGAATGATTAATAAATATTACTATATTAAAATTAACAACTATTGGCCGGGCATGGTGGCTCACACCTGTAATCCCAGCACTTTGGGAGGCCAAGGTGGGCAGATCATGAGGTCAGGAGTTCGAGACCAGTCTGACCAACATGGTGAAATCCCTTCTCTACTAAAAATACAAAAATTAGCCAGGCGTGGTGGCGTGTGCCTGTAATCCCAGCTACTCATGATGCTGAGGCAAGAGAATTGCTTGAACCCAGGAGGCAGAGGCTGCAATGAGCTGAGATCACGCCATTGCACTCCAGCCTGGGTGACAGAGCGAGACTCCATCTCAAAAAAAAAAAAAAAAAATTAAGAACCATTAATCCAATCACATAATAAAACAAAAAATACAATGACAGAATATTTTAGCAACATAAATGGAAATTAAAAGTTTAGTATCTAAATTCTAGAATATATAACTTCCCAAAACTAACTAGAAAAGTGAAAACAGTGAAAATAGGCAAAAGATATAAAAAGGAAATTCACAGAATAGGAAACGTTAATAGCTATTCAAGATTTATAAGCATGCTCTCGTTACTAGCCCAAAAAAAGACATTTTAAAAATAAGATACCATTTTATATGCATTGACTTTGAAAAGTAATTATAAAGTCTAATATGTATAAGCGGGTACAGCTATATGATACTCTTTTACATTGTTTGGAATACAAACTGGTACTGAGACTATATAGAGCAATGTCAAGGTTTATGTTTAAGATAAAGATGGTTATAGCCTATGAGGAAACAATTTAACTTTTATGTGTGTACCTTAGAGAAACTATGTTAAATATGCTTGGAAAGCATGCAAAAATGTATTAAAATAAAAAATACTGTTTGTAATAGGGACAAAAGTAGAAACAATTAAGCTTTATGGAACATAATTCTAATTAGTAAATTTTAAAATTAAAAAAGTACTGCATATTGTTTATGGATACCCAAATAAAGTTTAAAGATATGATTAGGAATGATGAACTACAAAATCATAATAGTTGTTACATTCAGAGGCTAAGAGAATAGGGGTGAGAGAGTAGCTGTATCATTAGGTTTTCTTGTTTGTTTTTAAATTAAAAAAAAAAAGATCCAGTAATCCCACTGCTGGGTATCTACCCAGAGGAAAAGTCATTATATAAAAAAGGTATTTGCATATGCATGTTTATAGCAGCACAATTCACCATTGCAAAAATGTGGAATCAACTGAAATGGCCATCAATCAACAAGTGAATAAAGAAACTGTGATATATATATATCTCAATCAATTATATGTATAAATCAATTATGTATATATAGATGTAATTGTAAGTCATCTACATTTTACTTAAAGTAAAAAAATAATATTTCTAAGTAGACTGTGAAAGAGGTATGCATATTTCACTCCCTAGGACAACCACTAAAGAAATGATACAAAGAGATCATATATAGCCAAAAGGTCAATAGATAAATTTAAAAAATTAAGAACTATTAATCAAAACACATAATAAAACAAAAAATACAATGACAGAATATTTTAGCAACATAAATGGAAATTAAAAGTTTAGTATCTAAATTCTAGAATATATAACTTCCAAAAACTAACTAGAAAAGCGAAAACAGTGAAAATAGGCAAAAGATATAAAAAGGAAATTCCATCATATATATATATCATATATTTATATATGTGTCATATATATGATAATATATATATATTTCCCACTACTGGTAGATACCCAGTAGTGAGATTTTAATTTAAAAACAAAAAAGAAAACCTAAAAAAGGGGAAAAATATATATATATATGTGTGTGTATATATATATATATATATATATATATATATATATATATATATATATGATGGAATACTACTCAGCCATAAAAAGAAATGAATTAATTGCATTTGCAGCAACCTGAATGGTATTGGAGCCTACTATTCTAAGTGAAGTAATTCAGGAATGGAAAACCAAACATAGTATTTCTCATTCATATGTAGAAGCTAAAGTATGGGGATGCAAAGACATCAGAATGACACAGTGGACTTTGGGGACTCATGGGGAAACGGTAGGAAGGAGGTGAAGGATAAAAGACTGCAAATAGGGTTCAGTGTATACTGCTTGGGTGATGGATGCACCAAAATCTCAAAAATCACCACTAAAGAAATTACTTATGTACCAAATACCACTTGTTCCCAAAAAACCTATAGAAATAAAAAATAAGTTAAAAAGATGAGAAGCAAAGATAAACAAATTTTAAAAATAAAAGAAATAGCACAATTACTTATAACTCTTTTTTATACAATTCATGTTATAGTACTTTTTACACAATGGTATTTTTGTAATTATATCAGTGTTAGTCAATTGAGTTATCCAGGGATCATGAAAAAGATAAATGAAGACTCCTTATTCAAACTCTGCTTTTAGCCATCATTCTTAAAATAGGCAGGTTCCTGATTGGAAGGCACACATTTAGATTATCCTTAATTTGCCGGGGATTGAGGTATGACTCAGAATCCCTGATGTCCCCTTCTTGATGCCTGGCTTTGACACTTTAGATAATTTCTTTTAATGGGGTGATAGTTTCACCAGAGCCAGATTAGAACTGCCATGTTGGAAATATATTATAAATATATAATAATTTTCATTATTTTGTACAGTAAGTGAGCATTATCTGAATGTCTTTCCTTGCTCTCCTGAAGCAATTCACCTTAATTGAGGAAGGGCTTGAAAAAATAAGCCAATGATAGAATGCTATGGCACGATGCTCTGCAACAATTAAAAATATGATTGTGAACAAACTTAAATGACATGGAATTATGTCTCACAGTATTATTAGGTAAAGAAATAGTTTCCAAATTCATAGCATGATCCCAATGATGTAAAAATAATGTTAAAACTAACAATAATTATAGGTACATGCATGCAAAGACACACATATCCCCAAGATGAGGGTAGAGGAAAACCAGCTATGCCAAAGCATTAGCTGTATTTGTCACCAGTTGGTAGAATCCATAGATCACATTCTATTTTGTTTTTTCTCTATTGTCTATTGTGCAATAGACACAATATTACAAAATTTTGTACTTTAGAATGTTCAATTTCAGTCTGAAGAGAATTAATTTAGATGAAGGAAAACTGCAGAAATACCATCCTGGTTTTTGCCTACTTTCTAGAAATAGTGAGGTAAAATTGGGCTTCTATATATTATGTTTATGACTGATTCAAATAAAATTTCATTTTATTTCCAGTTTTGGAGCTGAATTTGGTTTTGAAAGGAATTCATTTTCTAATCTCTATGATACAAACCTAATATAAAATATGATTTTAGTTTAAGTTTGGAAGACAAATTTGAGGGTAGATATCTTTCCTAAAGTAAAGTACTTCCAAGATTAGAGGTTCCAAATGACACCTTTGTAAGAGAAATGGTTTATATTTTCTATTTCTATTAACAGTAAGGTAGTTTTTTTTGTTTTTTTGTTTGTTTGTTTTTGTTTTGTTTTTAAGATGGAGTCTCGCTCTGTCACCCGGGCTGGAGTGCAGTGGCGCGATCTTGGCTCACTGCAACCTCCGCCTCCCGGGTTCACCCCATTCTCCTGCCTCAGCCTCCGAAGTAGCTAGGACTACAGGCGCCCACCACCATGCCCGGCTAATTTTTTTTTGTATTTTTTTTTAGTACAGATGGGGTTTCACCATGTTAGCTAGGATGGTCTTGATCTCCTGACCTCGTGATCCTCCCACCTCGGCCTCCCAAAGTGCTGGGATTACACGCGTGAGCCACCGCGCCCGGCCACAGTAAGGTAGTATTTTGATGGGCACCTATCACATTAAATTGAATAAAAAAGGAATTTTACTTAAAAATAAAATGAAGCTACCTTCTATTTCATCCAAAAATAATAAAGTATCAAAATGATTTGCTTAAGCCATCCTAAGAAACAAGGAATTTGTCAAACTGTTTTCCTCCAGCATTTGGACAATAACTAACCCAAATATTCTGATGTCATTTGCCACACAGGAGGCTGAGAAAACAAAAATGCTTGCTAGGGCATTTTTCTCATTCTTTTCCTGCTTATATTTTTTTTCTTTTCTTTTTTTTTTTTTTTTTTAAGACAGAATCTCACTCTGTCACCAAGGCTGGAGTGCAGTGGTATGATCTCAGCTCACTGCAACCTCTGCCTCCTGGATTCAAGCGATTCTCCTGCCTCAGCCTCCCAGGTAGCTGGGATTATAGGCATGTGCCACCACACCCGGCTAATTTTTGTATTTTTAGTAGAGACGGTTTCACCCTGTTAGCTAGCCTGGTCTCAAACTCCTGACCTCAGGTGATCCATCCGCCTCTGCCTCCCAAAGCGCTGGGATTACAGGTGTGAGCCACCGCGCCCGGTCTCATTTCCTGCTTATATTTCTCATTCATATTATGTTAGCTTGACTTTTTGCTAGTGGTTTTAGTATAAGGGCAGCTCACAAAGTTTTTCTTTGTTTCTCAAAATGAATAAAATATCAAAATAGGCACCCACATTTCTAAATCAATAAGGTGTTTATTTTACACCAAAAACATGGAATAAAGAGCAGAATTCTTAGTTGGTACATCAGTTGGCTTTGGGTAGTCCCAATTTCTGAATCTTGTTAACGGCTTTGCTATCTCACAGTTGTATTTGAAATCAGTGAAACATGAATCAATGAAAATCTCTGGTGTAAAAATATTCATTTAAACTAATTTGGCAATTTGCCAACTGGATTTCTCTTTATATATTTTATATATTTACAGATATGCTGAAAATTATTTCTGATACTGTGGGGTTTTTTTTTCAGATTGGTTAAGATATCTATGGAATCATGAGAGTCTTTGCTGTAGCTATTCCCTCGGCCTAGGAAGTTCTTTAACCAGGTTTCTGCTCAGCTAATTTCAACTTCCAAGTCTTTCTCAATGCTCGCTTTCTCCACTTAAAGACCCTACTTAATTCTGCAAAATCCTTGCACTCATATTCTTCTCCCACCCCACCCCCACCTGCCTAATTCCCCTTACTTAGATCTACTTTTTCTGTTTCTCATAGCAGTCATCAATTTCCATCATACTATATAATTTACTTATTTCTTATATTTACTATTAAAGGTACATTTCACTTACAATTTAAGCTAAAGCAAAAATGTTAGTCTATTTTGTTCAACAATATATCCCAAGTACTTAATATACTTCCTGATGCATCATAGGTACTCAATATATAGTTTAATTATTTGAAATCAAGCAACATACCAACGAAATGTCGGCAGATGATTCCACTGTTTTTGGAATGTATGCGATATAGTATATCCTACCGTAATGTGACTTCAAATGACTTGACTTCACTGAACATAGGCACCCGTGTTGCCCTATCACATATGGTTTCTGATGAATGAGTCGAACTTAAAACCGTAAACAACTGCTTCATTGTCTGGGTGTATTAGTGGTTGTGTTATAGTCAATGGACATTTTTAGTAAGATTAACTCTTCATGTTATAGAGGTGCAGGTGTCTAACAAGAAAAAAAAATTTCTTCTGAAATGCTTTGCAACCACGAACTATAGACTAATAAACCACCCCATTCTCTATTATAGGCATCCAGCAGCAAGAATGAGTGAAAGAAATAAGTATTTTTAAAAAGTTTAAACTTTTATTCAATATTATTATTATTATTATTATTATTATTATTATTATTATTTTGAGATGGAGTCTTGCTCTGTTGCTCAGGCTGGAATTCAATGATGCTATCTCAACTCACTGCAACCTCCACCTCATAGGTTCAAGGGATTCTGCCACCTCAGCCTCCCGAGTAGCTGGGATTACAGGCATCCACCATCATGCCTGGCTAATTTTTGAATTTTCATAGAAACGAGGTTTCACCATGTTGGCCAGGCCAGGGCAGGTTTTGGACTCCTGACCTCAGGTGATCTGCCTGCCTTGGCCTCCCAAAGTGCTGGGATTACAGGTGTGAGCTACCGTGCCCGGCCTTAAACTTTTAGTTTTAAAGAATGAAAAGTCAACACCGGGGCCTGTTGTGGGGCAGGGGGAGCAGGGAGGGATAGCATTGGAGATATACCTAATGTAAATGACGAGTTAATGGGTGCAGCACACCAACATGGCACATGTATACATATGTAACAAACCTGCACGTTGTGCACATGTACCCTAGAACTTAAGGCATAATAAAGATATATATATATGCAAAAAAAAAAAGAATGAAGAGTCAGTGAGGGAGACATTAAGGCCTATATTTGGGAGATGTCCTTTTAAATCATCTTGTAATTATGTGAGAAAATAATGTAGAGAAATGAGAGCAAGATTAAATGATCTAATCAACCCACAGTTACAATCCCAGGATATACTTAGTGTCCCAGGCTATTGTGTGAACAAGTTGTTCCAAAGTGGCCTCATTCAAGGAAATCTAAAAGAATGGCCAACCATTGCAGAAAATGTATTTGAATGCTCAAAGTAGATAGTCTAAGCCATAACAGAGGGCTGTCACATCTGTGTGCTGCTCAGGATGATGGATAATATAAGTGCAGCCTGATTAGTGTCTTGGGATAAACAGAGAGCTAAAGCAGGAGAGTCAGAGGTTTGTAAATAAATCTATTACTGACATCTTGGATGAATCTGACCTTTGCAGTGCCAGAATAGATGACAATACAATACATTGGTACCAAGGGCTAGCTCCAAGAAAACTTTGTTCTTCGTTTTGAATAAAATTTTAATGATGAACCAATAGCAGAATCTATAGGTACATATAGCCTTTCTGCTTTTCATATTTTATGTTTTACTACAATAGCATAATTCACATATGCACAGAAAAGTATATCTGCCTTGTTTTAGGTACCTAATTTTTTTCCTTAGGATACATATTGCTGCCTTTGTGTGTGTGTATCAAATGCTTTAATTTAACAAAACTACAACTGTGTTAAGTTATAAAATGTAATTGTTGTTATCCATCTTGAAGTCTGTGTCTTGGGATAAGAACACTGTTTTCAATTTAAGTATTAAAATAAGTTCGGTCATTAAGCAGGGATGTTGTACAATACAGCTGATAACAGCATAGTGCTAGGGGTCACCATACCTGAGTTCTAATCCCAGCTTCACCACTTACCAACTGGATGGCTATAGGCAAATTACTAGCTTCGCTGAGCTTCAGTTTTCTCCTCTACTACAAAAAAAAAAAAAAAATAATACTTCACACAGCTCTTGTGAGACTTCAATGTGATAATATATATTTTTAGAATTTTAGTGCTTTTCCTCCCCTATTCTTATTGCCCCTTGCAATTTCATTGTTCTCTTCACTGTATGCTTATGAGAAAGGGTAGATCATTCTTCTTGTTATGGTTGGGAAAATACTAAAAAATAATAATGGTGAATTTATATACCTGAACATGGTATTTTCATCTGTGAATTTTGAATTCATTCCTTTTCATCCTGAGCTATATTCCACTCTGAATATAGCTTAATTCACATCAATTATTTACTTTGTAAAAAGAAATTATTTTTCTTCTTTTCTCCTCTTATAAAAGATAGCTCTCAGACAAAAGGAAACAGACTTTGGGATTGATAAAGTGGCTGCATAAAGGATGGGAAAGGGCAAGCACAGAACAAATCTTAGTGAGGTGTTTATAACTGTTACCTATTGCTCCCTTACATGTTCAGAAGTTCCTTGAATCCATTTTGCTGCTTTATATCTCTGCCACTGGCTCACACAATTCCCTGGCCTTTCTCTTCATGTAGAGCAGTTAGAACCTACTTATCCAGCCAGACTCAGTTCGTTTCCTGTTGCCCACCAGTTTCTTGCCTGCTGCCCATCCCCTCCTCTGCTCCCACCCTCCATAGAAGAAATCATTTCCTCCATTCTTCTCCATTCTATCTTAAGCATCTTTCTAACACAGTTCCTCTAAGCATGATTTTACTTGCTGTCTTTGTTCACTAGATGCTAGGGCCCAGAGTCCACTGCCACAAGCAGTGTCTCTTGTTCTCCTGGAGACAGTCTTCTATGAGTGTTCCTCAACACAGAGCTTTACTGTGGGGCCAGGCATCTCATGCCCAGCCCTGATCTAATCATCTAATTCTAGTGAGCAACCTACAACTGAGTGTGTGTGTGTCTGTGTGTGTGTGTGTGTGTGTGTGTTATTAGAGGTAGTATAATATAGTGGTTTGGTATCAAATTATCAGATGTACATCTTAATTCTATCAATTTACTTTTTAACTGATTACTTACTACTTGATTTTGGGCAAGTTACTTCTCCATGCCTCAACTATATTATCTCTAAAATGAGATCATTATAGTATCCTTTTGTAGAAATATTATAATGTTTAAATAGGACATCCAAATGCTTAGAATAGAACCTGGCACACAGGAAGCACAGTCAATGTTAGCCATAATTATACTTAAATAATAGTAATCTAAATAACTTAAGTAGGAGATCCTTATAATCAATGGATCTGATTTCTCAATTTAAAGTGTCTTAAGGAAAGATGGCTGACATGAATAATTTTCATCCATTTATAGAGAAGTAAATATGGATGCTCATAATGATTAAATCTGTTTTGAAGGCAGGCTCTGAAAAGCTTCTTTCTTGCATAAATTTTCTCTAAGACTCACCTCATAAGAAAAAGAAATTATGCATCTTATGTGGAGGAAAATTCCATATGATATTTTTTATTTATCTTGTAAAATGTAAATGATTCTTTTATGACATAGCTCTGTAGGCCACTACTAATTTGTATAGTTCTCTCATAGTAATTTCCATGCTTCTTTGAATTACAGCTAACTTTTTAAAACCCTGATGCAGTGTTTTAACCAAGCTTTTTTTCCAAAACACCAAGTCACCTTCACTAGCATTAGATCACAGTTAAGGAAAAACAGCACCTATCGACTCAGAATATTTCTGTATGAGTTAAGTGGTTGACTTTTTCACTAATTGGCTAATTCATTCATTGCTGTTTGACTTCACGAACAGCAATGAGTGAATTAGCCAATTAGTGAAAAAGTGAATTGAAGCCGTTACAAGTATGATATTAGATTGACTCACATAGGAATATGACCTTTTTCGTTACTTTATCATTTCTAAGTAAATTAATAATGAATGTCTAGTCACCAAAATTACAGCCCACTCAGGGTTATTTTTACCATGCTGAACTAACTATTCTAATGATATATCCAGCCAAATTGGAAATTGGAAATTTTTGCTGCTAACGGAATTTTCATGCATAGTTTAACAATTCAGCTACCTGCAGCCCTGAACAAAATACATTGCCAGCAGGATGCTTTTTGGCAAAGTCATAGTCAATTATAATAATGGGAATTTTAAATGCCCCACCAATAAATGTTGGAATTATCTGTGGAAAAGGAAGGGGTTCAGAACATTACTGCAGCATTGTTTCATTACCATAAGTAAGTATATTTTATTCTTGGAGATCTATGTAAGTTTGATAATTAGTTATTTTAGGAAACAAGAAAATAAGAAAAATAGACCTATTGTAAGTGGGATACAATTATTTTTCCCTAACCTCCAGCCCTGCAGCATTTCTAGTAACAGATGTTAGATGAGAAGAGTTATTCTTCTAAGCTTTACAGAATGCTAAATAAATTATCTCAAAGGTTGACTCAGTAAGAATTTCAAAGAGTTAATTGTCAGTATTGAACTTTGTCAACTATCATTTTCATTTATTCATTTTTGAGTATCTATTTTGCATGAGGCATTGCTCTAGGGAGTTGGGACATATCAATAAAGTCATCAAAGTTCTTCAACATTGGAGCTCAAATTCTGTTTTGCGGGGGGGAGTAGGGAAATAGATACTAAACAATAGATTTTATAAGTAATTATTTTGGTTTGTTAGAAAGTGATACGGGAAAAGCAAACTGGAGGACAGTGAATCAGGAATAGGAGAAGAGGTTGCAGCTTAGAGTGGTTTGGGATGAAATGATAGTGCCACAGAAATGGAGTGTGCCACACGCATGGGGGAGTAGGGGGTGGAGCACGTTGCTAGAGAGGGGCTAGACATGGAGATATGTCTCTATTTTCAGCAGAGAAGGCCTGTCAAGATATTAAAAGTACATCTCATTGTCCCCTTCTCCCACTTGTTGGAGTGCTTCCTGGCCTTGTCTCTCAGAGCTGAAGATGACATAAATCATAAAAGAAATAAATGGTACCGCCTGGGCTCTCTGATCTTATAAGGTCCCACCTAATTTAAGCTCTGGTGGATAGCCTATTTCCCATTAGTTGTCTCAATTCACAGAGGATGGAGAAAGAAAGCACTGAATGAGATGTGCAGCTCAACTCAATGGGCACTTGTTAGCCCCAATTATTTGGCTAGGACAACTTTATTCAAGTTAATGGAATACAAAACTCAGCAGTTCTTATGGAGACTTCAATGTGCTGTAGAACAAACCACAGATAAATGAACTGTCTGAAAGAATAATATGAGGCACGGCTAAACAAGTGTTGTGGAAGAGAAAGATCACTGTAATCTAGAGTTAGTTAGAGTTAGGGCTTTCTGGAAAAGTGAGACCAACATTACACCTTCGAAAACTAGTGTGGTGGTGGTGCAAGTGGAGGAAAATGGGAAAGAGGCAACAGTGTCCATAAAGACACAGAGGCAGAAAGGGCAGAGGCCCTGGGATAGTTAAAAGAGAAGTCTAGCTGAGGGACTTCTTGACTTGACTAGCAGCAATTAGCCATGACTAATAAGGCTTTCCACACTCCAAAGACTTAGATGGAGGGATAAAAAACCATCTAATGGCAGACTGTGGTAGCCTCCCTAGAGACACAGAGCTGGGCCGGATGAGTCCAGGCACTGACGTGATCCATTATCTTTCACCTTAAAGAGTAAAAGGGAAACTAAAGTTAATTACCTCCACGAAACAAAAAGGTGCCTTCTTGTGCTTCAATTACATGGATATATTCTACTAGTCTAAAAGTATCTTCTCACTTCTTTCTGTCACTGTGAGGACTTGAGTCAGAAGAAAGTTTAAATACAGTCATTGAGCTGGAAAGAGTGGAAAGAGAAGCAAAGAGGGGGAAGCTGTAGGAAGGACGAAGTCACCCCCAAGATACATGGTTACTGCTTACACCAAGCAAGCTGCCTTGGGAACGCTTCCCCCGAGCAGCCAGAATGCTCAGCAGTGGAAGACACCTCTATTCCTGTAGGCGAGTCCTGGGAAGCTGGTCAATCTGCAAATGCCAATTCCCAGCAGTGAGCTCGGTCCACGTGTAAATCAAGATTTGGGGAAAGAGTAGGGTGGGTGGCATGGTTGACAATGTCATCAGCTCCCTCCTCTGACTCCTGTGGTCGTGCCCCCATCTACTCTCACTCAGCTACACCCCACCTTCGGATTTGTGATGGACGCTGGGTCCCTAGTAACCACAGCAAGTGTCTCCCCCGCACTTCCCCCTTCCCCACCCCCACCCCCACCCCCAACCACCACCCCAGCGATGGAGCCTACTCTGCTCCAAGCCGCCGCTAAGACCCGGAGAAGCGGAATTTCACTTTGAAATTCCCTTGCCTCGTGAGGGCCGGCGCTGGGCATGCTCAGTAGCCGCGGCGCTGCTGCTGGGCTGCTGGGCTGGCGCGGAGTCCACCCTGCCGTCTCCGCCTTGGCTTCTGGGCGTCCAGAAGGCCAGGCATTTGCCGCCTCTGAGCGCTTCTGTTCCCCTTACCCGCAACCTCCTACTGCTCTTCCTCTCTCCCTCTCTTAGGGAGGTTGAAGCTGGTGCTGGTTTCTGTCGGCGCCACAGACTGACTGCTCTGCAAACCCCAGCCGAGGACCTGAATCCCGGAGACTAGAAGACCCTTGGCGGTGGCTCTTTCTAATAGCACTTTACCTGAAGTGGGGTCGTGGTGGAGTTTCTCCTCCACCTCTCAATGCAAACACTATGCGGAGAGCAGTCTGCTTCCCTGCGCTGTGCCTGCTCCTTAATCTTCACGCTGCAGGTAAGGGGTTGCCAGGCTTAGAGCCGGAGCTGTGCATGAGATGGGAAACTGCACATGCTTAAGGACTCTAGGAAAAGCTTGCCTTGCGAAGAAAGCCTTTCTAAAAAGGTAAAACAGGACAGTACCTGACAGGGAAGGGGTGAGGGAGTCGTGCACCTGTTGGAAAACTGAGGCCGAAAACTTAACCTAAAATTAGCTCTTGATTTTTCTTTACTTTATACGAAAATAGTGAACATTTTCAATATGAATACAGGTTTGCTCCCCCCTTCGCCTCCCCTCCGTCTAGATTCCCTGCTCTTGTTTCTAGGCTATGCACTTAACTGTCAATTTTTCAGGAGAGGGATAAGACATCCTGCTAGATGTAACCTTTTCTACTGCAGCGGCTACTACATTCATAAGGTCTCTTGGTCTAGCGAGCGCTCATAGGAAGGCATTGGCTGTAACCTGATGGACCACATCTCCGCCCAAAAGATCGAAATACATGGTTCACATTAGTGATGCTGCACCAGGCTCCTTTGGCCCCTGCTCTTGTCACTCGAATTTTCTAAGCCAATAAGAGGAAGAAAAGGTTTCAAATAGAATCCTCTTGTCTCTTTCAGCACCGTGGCTAGCGTCCGCTGGCATATTAAAAAAAAAAAAAAAAAAAAAAAAAAAAAAAACAATTACAGTTCCAAAGCTGACAACCCTGGGTTAGGCACTGTCCCTCGGACAGATTTGATAAGGTGTAACCAAGAGTAACAGTGAGACTGCTCCCAAATATAAATAGATTTGAGGCACCAGAATCAATATCAAGTCTCGTGAGGAAGCAAACCTTGGGAAGTACCTGAGAGATATTATATGTGGTGTCCCTGCTTTTTGCATACATAGCACCTCTATTTAATGCAGACAGACTTGCTAGGCTGAATTCCTTATCATTGTCACACACACATGAACCAAAATAAAATATGGCAGGGAGATTTTAGAAACCCTACTGTGACAGCAGTTGTCCATGCAGTAGTCCTGTAACAACCAGAGACGAGGCATTTTCCCTGAGTGTGCTTCTCATCCAATCACACATATCCATTCATTCCTTCAAGCAACATTTGCTGAGTGTATACTATGTTCTAGGGGTAATGAGTAAAAATAATTGTTCTGAAATTACAATCCTTGCAGTATCTTTTTTAAAAGAGTGGGTGAATTTTATTCTCTGTGTACAATAGTAGGAGTGAAATATGGTACTTTCTTATTCCAGCTAACGCTATTATTTAAATGTATCATGAATCTTTTGAGCAAATAATGCATAGGATTATTAAAGCTATTATTAAATACACATGTTAATTGTTATAATTATGATGTTATATTGTGGAGTTTTCAATAGTTCTTTGGCACATTTTGAGAAGTAGAAAATAGCTATGACTTGATTATTAAATTATTTGCAAACAGCTGTAGTGAATTATTTCGTTACCACATACAATTCTTCAATGCTGAAATGTGGGATGAAAACATACACATTGGGTTGAGTTTTATTTATAGTATTGCTTAATAATAGACTGACACAAACATTCATTACAGAAAAATCTCAATTCTTACTAAGGTAGCAATGATTTAGCTGGTCTGCCAACAATATCAGTGTAGTCATTTTTTCAAAACTAACATATAAAAAAGTTTAAAGATCACATTTGATACATCTTGAGTAATTATATCTTAAAAGTTATAAATAAACTGAAGCATGTGAAAAACATGTCTTGATTTACTGTAGATGAATATTCGGGATGAGAAAAATGAGGACTTTTGCTCATCAGATGAGAAACCTAGAAGCCTGTAGCCCTAGATTTTACCTGGAGTTCTGCCAAAGGGTATATTACCAAAGCCAATCCAATCCATCTCTACTTCAACTTTTTAATTTGCAAAACAAAGATAAAAAGTAAGATTAATCAACCAATTTTAATTTAATAAGAAAATGCATTTAAGGACATTTTTATATTTCAATTGCAAGATACTATTCATTGTATTCATATTTAATATAGTAAAATACATTGGTGTTTTATCACAGCAGATTGTAAGTTTAATATTATAGTTCTCTTGCCAATTTCATTTTAAATGCATTTTAATTTTAAACAGCAATTTGTGGGTCACAAGCTGTCATCAGATTAAAATTTATCACAGTTATCTAATAACATTGTTAGGGCTTTTCATCAGAACTAAAACAAACACAGCTCCTTGGTCTAAGCTTCTATACATTTGGAGATTAAGAAAATAAGTGGATGGGATGACAAAGATCAAGAAATCAAGATATTAATCTCTACTTGTTGAAGGTGTGAGTTTGTTACTTTTATGGAAGACTTTTCTCTCAGAACAGAGGCTGACTTCATAAAGAAGGGAAATGAATTCTATACATTCAGGCCTCTTTAACTGTAAAGCTAATTGATCCATTTTGGTTACGCCCAGGGTATCAGCAACTGCTTTATGCTGGTGGAACTGATGACACCTTATAATGCTTTAGAGATGGGAGGAATGTGCTAACGGGATGTAAGTGTTCTTTTTAGCTATATTAGGAACTGTTGCCTTCAATATAACCATGCCTGTAATGATAAGTAGCAAACTGCTTGCAACTTGAGTGCCATCTCCCATTATTTTGCTTATGGTTGCCTAAGACACCATCGGGGGGAAAAAGAAGATTATGACTCGCATTCTGGCTAGGGAGAAGTACTGTGGTCTATAATAGCTGTGGGAGAAAAATGAGGAGTGGGTACCATGCTGTGTAAGTGGCATCTCTGGGTAAATTAACACTAAAGGATTACTAAGCATGGTTCTTGTTAGAGAAGCTGGACACTACTCTACCCATGGCAGCCGATTTTTATAGATCACCTAACAAGGAAGTTGTGGTTATTGTCCATCCAACTGCTTATTTTACAGGTGAGAAAATGAAGATCTAGAGTATTAAAGTGGTAGTTAATAGCATAGTCGGGATAAAAGCCCAGGTTTCCAGACCCGTGGTTGCATACTATATAAAATTATACACTGGTTCTACAATAGGTGAGGCCACCATTGATTAAGTTAGTGGTGCAAAATACTTTTTACCTAACTGTCCTTATTCTTTACTCTTTCGTGAACCAGTTTAATATATAAACTCCAGTTGAAAATACCACTTCAGGAATATTCAAGGAGGCAATTAAAAGCCACCACAATAATACGAATGGTAAAAAAATATTATGTGGAAGATCCACAGAGCTTATTTTCTTCAGCATTTCTCCTCTTCCTTTGTCCAAAGAAGCATATTCCATTTGAGGAGATATTATTTATAGTGTTGTATTTTAGTTGCAAAAGAGTACATTTTTGAGATATATTAAAAATTCTCATGTGAAAGCTTTCTTTTTCCTAGGGAATGTTTTGCTAACAAAATACAGAAACTGATTTCAATCCATTGCTTTCTCTTTGAGTTCTGGAAAAGGTTCTTTCAAATTTCTGTGTTGTTCTTGCTATCAGCCTTTTTGAATGGCACAAAGACTGCCTTCAATGTATCTCCTGAAACTATCTCTTCACTCTCAGAGAAGTGCATAGTCAATTTCCTTAGACTCTAAGAAGAAAGGTATTCTATGATAGTACCAAGAAGATCTGGGAGGTGATTTGCAGAAGTACCACCCTCAAAAGAAAGGATAGACTAACAGGTAAATGATATATTTTAAGATTTTAAGATGTTCCTTAGAACTCCAGAATTTGTTTTTCCTATTGAAAATCTCTCAGAGAAGTGCATAGTCAATTTCTCTAGTCTCTGAGAAGAAAGGTATTCTATGATGGTGCCAAGAAGATCTGGGAGATGATTTGCAGAAGTACCACCCTCAAAAGAAACGATAGACTAACAGGTAAATGATATATTTTAAGATTTTAAGATGTTCCTTAGAACTCCAGAATTTGTTTTTCCTATTGAAAATCACTCAATATAGACCTTACAATGGTCTAGAGTCTCTCTCCACATTATTTCTATGATATTATCTCTCACTACTTTCTTCTTTTTTTACCTCTCTCCAGCCATATTTATCCTTCTGTTTCTAGAAGATGCCAGGCACTCACCCTTTCATACTGTTTTGCTTTTTTCTTTCTCCAGGTGTCTCCACAGCTTAATCCCACAATAATTTTAGAACTTTAATTAAATATTACCTTGTTAATGAGGTTATTCTATTTCATATTTCATTTTCCCTTCCCCCCATCACCCAGATAAAAATTCTAGCACCCTTTCCCTGCCTAACTTTTCTTTCCCCAGAGGTCTTCACCACCCAACATACAATATATTTTACTTTTTTTATTGTAGTTTCCCCTCTCTGTATTAAAATGTAAGCCCATTTAGGGCACATATTTTTGCCTGTTTTGTTTATTATTGCATGTATTAGAGGTCTTGGGCTACCTAGTACCTGGGGGCAGTTCCTGACATAAAATCTTTCTAAAGATTAAATAAATAAGTTAAATAAATAATGTAATACAGTGATATTTCTGGTCTCTTCTTTTTGCATTTAATATCTTCTTAACACCCACAAAAAACACACATAGTCCACTTAGCCACTTCTGGAATGGACTTAAACAGCTCATTTGTCCAAAACTCATGTTGCCTCACATGCCCCCAAAACACACTATCTCTAACAGATTTTGCTGTCATTGTGAACTGAAGGGCAATAAAGGATGGGTTTGTGTTAGACCAGAACTACTAATCAACTCAGTGAAAAAAGTCTTTCAAACTGATTGCCAGATATTGTGCAGCCCAAATTCTTTGCTGATTGGCTACATTTTCACTTCTCAGTGAAATGCCTTGTACATGTAGGAATGGCTACAGGGATCAGCTGATTTACAAACAGAGAGTCTAATACACTAGAAAAAACTGATTTGCTTCTTTGGTACTTAAGAGACACAGGAATATGTATATTGGAGATGACATATTTCTAGCACCTCCAATAGAATAGCACCTCACATATTCCATTGAAAATCACATCCTACCTAACACCTTGTAAAAATTCTGGGATGCATTATGCACATTCAGCCTTTTCTTCTTTATTTCTCACCTACTTCTCTATCAGCTTCCGTCCTCATCCTATCATCCTATGGTTGAACATAATTAAAGAGGTTATTGTAATGTATGTTCTTGTTATCAATGCATTTCTATAGTACTTATATATTTTGACCCCTTTCTGAATTTTAAAATTTTTCCTCACTTGACTTCCACAGACAGTCATTACTTCCTAGCTTCCCTCTTATTTCTCCAGCCATTTCTCAATTTGTACTTTTAGGTCTTCTGCTGTGTATTATTTAATGGTTAGTGCTCTCTACAGCTTGTCATTGATTTTTTGTTATTTTTCTCTGTATACAATCTCCCTGGATAATTATACTCAGACTTGCACGTCAAAGATTCCAAAATCCACATTTCCATCTCAGTTATCTCCCCTGAACTCTGGTTCTATATTTAAAATTACCTAGAAGTCATTGTATATTCCATAGTAATCTTTTTGTTTTTGTTGTTGTTGTTGTTGCTGTTGTTGTTGTTAGAGACAGGGCCTCACTCTGTTGCCCAAGCTTGAGTGCAGTGGTGCAATCATGGCTCCCTGCAGCCTCGACCTCCTGGGCTCAAGCAGTCCTCCTGCCTCAACCTCAGAGAGTGCTGGGATTACAGGTGTGAGCCACAGTACCTGGCCCCACAATAATCTTATATACAACTATTTTTACTCAACACTTCTCAACACAATTACTCTGATAAATATTCCCTAACATTGTGAATAACACCAGGATTCTTCACAATGACCCAGGTCTGAAACAAATAATTGATCCTAGATCATCCCTTTGCTACTTTCATCTTAAAGGTTTCAAACTCTTCTCATAAGATGTTCTCCACTCTCCATGATCATGTCACTGCCTTGAGACAGATCCTTATTTCTCACATAATATCTTGTGATGACCTCCTATCAAATTTATTCTTTATAATAATGTCGGAGGTGAAACTCTTAAAAGCATACCTGATCATATTCTTTCTCCAAAAAATTCTTTAATACAGCTATCTCCTTTTCTTTTAGAATAAACTCCAAACTCATTAGGAAGGCAGTCTTTTGCGATGAGGTCTTCTCATCTTGCCCTCCTTTGCACACTAATATCACACTAAGACAAAATTTCCTTTGGTTTGCCATGTCTTGAATCATTTCACATACTGTTCTATTTCTCTTAAATACCAATACTCTGCTCCTTTTTTTAGATGACTCTTTCTCCAACTTCAAATGTTGATCAGGCATAGCCCACTTTGAGAATCTTCTTTTTTTTGGATGACTCACCTCATTCAAGTAGCTCTCCTACATTTCCCTTTTCAATCCTGTATATTCCCCTGTCAATGTACTTAACCTGTATACTGAAGTTTTTTGAGAACAATAACACAATTGCAGCTTTATTTCTATATACTTATTCCCTAGAACTATGCTTGTTACCTAATATGGCATCAGTAAGTGTTCAATGAATGAATACATATATTAAATATATTTGTTAAAATGAATTGTGATAAATTAATTTACATTGACCAAGAGATTATATCTCATCTTCATGACCATAAAGAAGGTAATTGACTTTACTACTGCCACCTTAGTGCAATTTACACTTATTGACAACAAGGAAATGGAGATGGGACAGAAAATTTTCTATGTAAATACACTCCATAAGATAAGTTTGTGTCCCATGGGCATGATGCTATTTGTAGTGTACTTGTGTGCTGAACTCTTTCTAGATGGATAGACATTCTTGCATGATTTTCCAGTACTACTTAAGAATAGAATGAGATTTTTTTTTTACTTTAAAGAGCTCAAAGAGTTAGATAAACAACATAGCATGATAGTTGTCCACTACAGAATGGACCCGGAACTCCTAACCCTGATTACTGATTGGTTATTATCTACCTATAGCAAATACAAGACATTTACACATTCAAAATCAGGTGGGAGTGTGAGACAGTGGCTTCAATAAATCAAGACCAAAAATTATTCAACCCTCCTTTTCTCTCTGAATTAAAAACCAAATCATCACACAAAATGTCTGAATATTTGAGTGGTTGTATACATTTTTTCTCTCATTTTGTGTGTATACAGTCTTTATAGAACCATAAAGTTTTTGGATCCCACATATTTTTTCTCATAGAAGACATTCTTACACCTGAAGAATGGAGACTATTTTGTGAATTATTTAAAAATCGCTTTATGTGAGATGATCAGATCACAAATCAAAAGCCCATTCATTGCCATTAGTATTAGAGATAACACGGATGTTATATTTTATGGCAAGTTTATTGTTAAATCTTAAAAGTTGTTCTGTGAGTCAAATTCAAAAGCTAGTGAAAGCCATTTTTTCCTTTAAAAGGGGATTTGAAAGATTCTACTTGGCCCATGAGTGCATTTTTCATCTTCAAGGCATTTACAAATGCTGACACACTTAGAGTAGCATTGATGTTTCCCAACATAAAGGATGTTAGTAGTTTCGAAAAATAAAGATGTAATGCTAAAATATTATTTTAAGATCAAATTTCCTAATGCTTATGTACCATATAATGTAACTATAAGTGCCTACTATAGTAATGATATTTGCCACAAAAGGACAATTAGCAAATTTATATTATAAACATTAGCACTTTCCACTTAAATCATTTTTATTCATAATGACTGCATAAACTTTCCTCATAATCAAATCTCATTTGATTTTAATATATTAAGATGTTGATGTCCATTAAAATTGCAGCCACATGGACCAACAACAAAGCAAAACTATTATTTATATTATGCAGCAGTCTAGAACTTAGCAAATGCCAAGTTCATTGGGGACATGAATTATTTTTTCCTATTTCTATTTTATTTTTTATTTCCTTTTTTTCAGATCTAAAGCAATGTCCATTTTCTGACTTAAATGAGAAGACTGGCCTCAGGCAGTCCTAAACTACTGATTCTTTGGAAAGGAGCATTTAATGAGCACAGAGTAAAAGCATCTCACAGTGATTCACTGGACTGTACAGCAATATGTACAGAGCAAGACTCTACAGCTATTTCACTGTACTAATGATCCAATTCCTGAGGCATACTGGAGAGAAAAGGAAGCAATAAATGCACAGAATCAGTTCACCACTGGGTGACTTTCACTTATCTGGGAAAAATGATCAAACATAATATCATAGTGAGTTAGTTAGGTTGAAAGACCATCAATCCATTAATGTAAATGTATGGCTTTCAATCATAAGCAATTTAGTTTCTTTGTCTTCTTGATTCAAGGTGGTATTTTTAAAATTCTCCCTGAAGAAAATAAAGTAGCTTAAACAGAAGAAAGGAGAAAATTTAAACAAGGGGAAATGTCATGTTTCTAGATAACTTTTTAGCAGAATTCCATAGTAGTTGAGAGTTAAGTGGGATAATATATCCAAACTTGCAGTCTTAGAGAGTGTCATAGAAGTGTTAGGCATTACGTGATTAGACTAAGGAGATGATAAATGGTTAATTGTACCTTGGAGGAATTTCTTATTCTTTTTATGTTTATGCCAATACTGGGTAAGCATACACACCTAGATACATTCTGGATTCTGAGTGGTTTTTTTTTTTTTTTTTCAGTTGAGCCTTTTCTTGATAGTTTTCATCTGTATGCTATAGGCAGGAGCCTGACCATATGTGCAGGTTTGTAGTGGACTATGAAGCTCGAAAATATCTACCTCCCTGCAGATATCTCTCCCAATGCCTTTTCTAAAAGTTTCATCTAAACATGAATTCTAGCATCATGTCTTCAGCAAGTTCTACTTAAATGAATGTGAAATAAAAATTTCTCTTGGATATGCCTGATTGTGACTGAAAATGTGTAACATTTACATAAACATCATAAATCTGAAGTGCCTAGTTCCTACTGCACTGCCTTGCTTAGCAGGCAGTCTAGACTTGTCCTAGGATACATCTTCCTAATTAATCCCTCTAGGGACCCACAAAGGGTGAAAAGCTCAAGCATGGACGAGGGATGCTGCTCATAGGTCTATAGGCTTCCCATCTGTTGTCTACTCCTCTGGCCATCCTTCTTCTCTACTGACCAACTGATACTATCCTATTTACCATTTGTAGCCCATGGAATTTCTAGACCATTGGGCTGTAGGTCCATGTGGAAGGCTGCCTGTGGTTCTGCAGACACCAGCCAAGACAGGGGTGTTTGAATGTAAAGGGATAGAAGGAGGGGCATGGGTATGGGAAGAACATAATGGAAAAGGTCACATGCAGCCACAACCTATTCATTGAACTACTCACCACTCCCCTAAAACCCAGGCTACTCAGCTGACCCTGCTTTTCCAGGACTCTTCTCGCTGCTGATTTTACCTCAGGTGACCTATTATTTATAGCTTCAGTTTGACTCCCTTGGAGACCCATAGTTCACAAGAAAACTCAGAATTCAGTTATAGAAACTTTTTCATGATGCTTCACTTCTCTATGCAAATCCAGAGACACATCTGGCAGCTCTTTCAGTGCCTCTGAAAATTTCATGACATTTAAGAAGCTCACTAGGGCAATTCACATGAGTCCTCACAAGCCTGGTCCCCTTGGGCATTTGGGCATGTCTCTTGGCATTGCTGGGAACCTCTGTACCTCTAGAGCATCAGGATTTCCCATCAGGCATTCATTGGTTACTTTTGATTGTTTTATTTCCTCAAACTGGGAATGCCTGATATTTAGAGGGCTTAAATTATAAATTTTATCATGTTATTTGTAACTCCTAAATCTGAGCATTAACTGAAGCTACAGAAACATAATAAAAAGTCTTCCTCTCAAGACAAGCATTGAATTTCATATGGAAAAGACAAATAGATTTCCTTTTAAGACAGGAAGGAGATAACAAATGAGTATTTCCTAAATCCCTTTGATGTGCTAAACTCTACCCAAGGTGCTTTTGTAAGATAATTGCCTTACCTTTTAGGATTGAAAAATGTTTTGAAATGGCATGCTTATACTTCAGAAACAACAAAAATATGCCTTAACTCATGTAGTACAATAAAAACAAACAAACAAAAAAACATTTGGGCTCTAGGATTTGACTACCTGAGTTCGAATCCCATCTTCTCCCATTTAAAAAGCTAATGTATAAGACCCTGCAGCATGGAACCTGGAACACTGAATATATTCTATATTCAATACTAGTAGTTGTAGGAGTTGTATTAACATGTGAAAACTTTCATTGGTCCTGTATTTCCTATAGCTGCAATATAAGACCAATGAAAAGAAAATATAAAAAGAAAAATGGTGCACATTGACTATTGACCTATTAAAAAAAATCACTCTAAAACCTTCATTTGTGAAGAGTACATGCTATGAAGATCAAATAAGCATGTCCCAATTTTTAAAATACTAGTAAAACCTTCGTCTTATAAATTTTTAAATGCTCATAATTAGCAAGTTCATGTTGAAGAAACTAAATCCTGCTTTCAAAACAAGTATATAAGAGAAAAAAAACCTCTAACCACCAGAGGCACTGCCACCACGGGCAACCTTTCTTCTGACAAAGTATCTGTCAGTCTCAGGGATTGGGTAGGACATGCGGTATCATCACTTCTGCTACCCTACTCTACAGACTATATGAATCCACAACATCCAACAAAGGCCAAAACATTCCACTTCTAATGCTGACTTTCAGTCTTAGAGAAATATGTACTAGACAGGGAAAGTTTGATATCCTACAATGAGTTTATGTGAAGGGGGCCCTGATTAACAGAGGCTTTGCTTATACTAATGTTTTGTTTTGTTCCTTTGAGTGGAGACTCAAAGAAGTTTTTCTACCCTGATGGAGAAATTCAGTTCAGATTAAGTTACAGGTGTACCTTTTTTTTGTAAAGTTTGATGAAATGCTTTGTTCCGGAAAGGAGTGCCAGCATGAAATGTGTCCCTGACTATAGGTACATTCTGAAGCAGATAAATTTTAGAAAAAAGCTGAGGATCTGGACAGTGATTCTTCATGCCTGTGCACAATTTGCATACTCCAATTTGAAAATCCTGTCCACATATCTTTGATGTGTGTGTGGTGGGGGAGGGTATGCACTTTATGAAATCAAAGAGAGTTCTCACACATACAATTAGGGAATCAGGTGTCCTGTCTCCCCTTGGGTTAAGTTTTGCTGAGTCTGCAGCAAATTCCCAGTGGGTGCAGGATCAATTCCTGCCAGTCCAGGCCTGTCTTGTGCCTCTGGTACCCAATACCTCACCCTGCAGCATCAGCTGTCACTGCTGGCAGCGCCCCTCAGGTCCTCCCTCCACCAGCCCTTCATGTCTTGAAGTTTACACTTGGGAACTATGTTTCTAATCTGAGCTTCAATCTCCAATTTTCTCTTTCTTCTCCACCCTCAGCTAAACTGGGTAGTTGCTGCTTCCTATTCCAGGAGAGATCTCTTCTCAGAAAGGATGTGCCACACTGATCTACTTCAGATAAGAATAGCTGTTAATTATATGGCCCTTCCTTAATTTTGATTTTTCAAAGAATCATTAGAAAGCAGAGCCTTAGCCCAGTGCCATTAATTTCAAATGGTGGATGAAAGAGCAAGAACGAGATGGAATAGCAGTGTTGAAAGGGTCTACCAAGTGCCCCTCAAATCCCAAAACACAGGCAAGGGAGACCAGGACAGGGATCTCTTCAAGTGGCCAGCTACAGACCTCTTTCCCCATTGATACGGTTTGGCTGTGTCCTCACCCAAGTCTCATCTTGAATTGTAGTTCTCATAATCCCCACCTGTTGTGGGAGGGACCAGGTGGAGATAATTGAATCATGGGGCGGCTTCCTCTATCCTGTTCTTGTGGTAGTAAGTTAGTTCTCACGAGATCTGATGGTTTTATAAGGGACTTCCCCCCTTCTCTGGGCACTCATTCTCTCACCTGCTGCCATGTGAAGAGGGATGTGTTTGCTTCCCCTTCTGCCGATTGTAAGTTTTCTGAGGCCTTCCCAGCCACGCGGAACTGTGAGTCAATTACACCTCTTTTTCTTTATAAGTTACCCAGTCTCTGGTATGTCTTTATTAACAGCGTGAGAATGGACTAATACACCCACTTTCCTCTTCCCCTAATATATAAGCATTAATGTCTCTGTAGTATCATTACTATGGTGAGATTTTAATATTTATGTGTTCTAATGTTCGTTTTGCTATGTTTTAATATAATTCCTAATCTGCTATGAGAATTATTCTTAAAACAGACACTTTTTTTTCCTTTGTCTTAAAATTGGAGCCCAGTTTTTAAGTTGTCTGGAGAACTCTGCTATGAAAACAATGGAGATAGTTTCTAATCTTTATTTGAAAACAATTATATTTTAGCTGTTTGTATAACAATGAACGATGTATAGAATTAGTTTCTAAATGTACTACTTCATTATTCAGTGAGTGCAAACAGAACTGAACTCCTGTGATTTCTGCAGTCTTAGCTTTCTAGCCATATGAGCATTTTTCTGCCTTTTCCCAGAGGGTGTAGTTTGATAGTCCTCTCTTAATGGCTGTATAACATTTAACATATAGTAGCATTCACTCCTGTCAACCTCTCCTCCCAGTATCCTTTGACTCAATACTTCAGAAACTGGGGGACATCTGATTGCTATACCTCAGCTGGCACACATTTCACTTTTTCCAGCAGAGTCTGAGGCCCAAGGTCTTAATGCTCATTCTTTCTTCATGACTTATGTCTAGTCACATTGTCCCAAGGTACCGTTTTAATTGTATTATGTTCCACTCTGTAATAGATATTTATCAAATGAAAAATAACTCTATTAAAGCTGGGCAAAAATCAGGAAACATGAACCCCTTTCATTGCAATTTTACCACCAGCAAATAGCAGACAATGGATTTTTCCTGAAACGGTTGTCAATTCTGTAACTCCCAAATAGAGGTTTACACTGTTCAGCTCAACTTTCAATGGATAAACAGGGAGAAGTAAGGGATATCCAGAGTATTTATGCTGGGCTGACAGTGGAAGGAGGAGCCACTTTTCCTAATAGAATATTTTGGGAAATGTGAAAAAACATGTGAGGAAACTTTACAAGGTGATTAAAATCATCCCTTACTCTAATGGGATTCAGGTTCTTCTCTTAAATAGCAGTGATCAGAGCTAGCACTATAAAAACAGAACAATTACTTTGCTATTGGTTTCTTTATTTTTATTATAGATGTATTGGACACATCACTGTTCAAATATGTGGAGAGTTTAAATAATATTAAAGAATGTCACAACACTTCCTGGTAGAATTATATTTTCACATCTTAGTAGCCAGTGTGTAGACTGGATCTTAGAAAAACCAGTCCTGGAAGGACGTGTTAAAATTTTATTTTAGTTTTCTTTAAGGCTAGTCAATTGAAGGAGTAGGAGTGGAGAAGGAACAAAGAAATCCGCAACTGGTTGTGATCAATTAGTTGTAAACACCACTGCACTGGGACCAGCCTTGGAAGTGTTCTTTTAATAAGTTTATCCACGTGTTTTTTGGGTCCATGTTTATAATTTTGGCAAATTTAATTATTGTCATCTCGTAGAAACTGATTTTTTTTTAAAAAAACTTTTTGTAACAAAATGGCTAGTTTAAGGATAAATATTTTTGTCAAATTGGTTATTTGGTGTCAGGATACAAAACAAAACAATGTGTGTACATACAAATATATACATACATATGCATATATTGTTGGAACATAACTAAGGCACAGAAACTGAATTCTGTAAAACTGGCTTTGTATATAGCATATGTTGTATTTTGGGAGGTTATCCTAACTAACATTGGTTGTCATATTTTGGGAAGGCTGTAATGTTTATCAGTGGGGTTTAGTGTTATTACTGTTGACACTTTTAACTGGAGATTAGTATTCTGGTTATCTCTTGTTACTATTACCAATAGAATGATAGAACAACTAAATAATAGATTTAATATTAGCCTCCTTACATCCCAGAGTAGAATTTCTGGAAATCCCTGCTTCTGTAAGTTCCCAAAGTGTCTTTTATACTATTTATGGAAAAACTTATTTCTTTAGAAAAAAAATCAGGACCATGCAAAATCTGTCTAACTGAATTGTGGCTTCTTTTTTACTGAAATATATTTCTAATCTAGTTGTAGATATGCAAAAACCACCTACATTTTCTGATGAGAAGACTGAGGCTCATTGGGGTGAGCTAACACAGACGAGAAGAGAGAAGTTGGGAGGTCATTTAAATTAGAATCTAGGTCCTTCCTTTATTTCTTAATTCTTTCCTCTTAATAAAAAGCATGTTTCTTTCCTTTCTCAATACTAAATAGGCACCTTTCCCAAAAGAACTTTTATTGCTACAATTATGTATTTTTAATTTTCCTGAGAGGCATTAACAAATCAAATAAATGGGAGCCTAATCATTTCTCATGCATAAATTCTCAAGGGAAGCCCTTGATGCTATCCATTTATCTCTCCTTTCTAGAGAAGAAGGTGTTAACATTCCTAACAAAACAATGATTGTCTTTTCAAAAAATGATTACACAGTAAAAGCCTTTTTTTGATTGTTCACTTTTTCAAGTCTCTTTGGAGACCACTGTTTTATTCTTTCTTTCACAAGTTATTGACATTGACTTAAGTACTTGCAATGCGAGGATTTATTCTGAGAGAGTGTATACAAGGCCATTCTACCTTATGCATTCAGGAATAACCAACACTGAATTTGAAATAATGAATCATAATGTACTCTAACTAAACATTGTAATTTCATTCATTTCTCTTTCCTTTGTTAAAGATCTCTTCAGAGGCTACCAAGGTCATACCCAGAATGAAATTTCAATTTCAACTGTGCAATTTTATGACCATCAAATCTCACTGGTTATTTTCATGTAAATGTTGTTTTTATGATAAAAGTTCTTTTATTTTAAATGTAGATTAGTATCTTTGGCAAGCTACTTACTAAACATTCTGTAAGAGACACTCTATCCCTCACAGGTAGGGAAAACTGTCACTGAACTCTCAATGAAGACAAGAAATCCTACCATGTATTTCATATCAACTTTCTTTACAATAACTCTTTCAATTCCTCTCCATTCTCCTGAAACCTTTCATCTTTCCTCCCTAGTCCTCACTCTCTTATGAGATGACTTCATCTCCTTCTACACAGAAAATATAGACACCATCAAAAGATAATTTTCTCAACTTCCAACACCAAACCCATTAACATCCCTAATCTCCCTCCCCTCTACCTATAATGAAATAAATACCTTCCTCAAATCCAAGGCTCATTCCTCTGCCTGTACTCTGGGTCCTCTCTCCTCCTATCTTCTGGGGGAGTTCAGTCTACTAATTATTCCAGCTGCATTCTCTTATGTCTGATCACTCCTTTTAGCTGGCTCCTTCTCCTTGAGGATTAAATGTGCCAAAATCTCTACTTTCTTAAAAAGAAACCAAAAACACATCCCTCAACCCTATCTTTCCTTCCTGGTAACACATAGTCACTCTCTTATTATACCCAAACTTGATTTTTCCACTTATTTTGTTTCTACTTTATCTCCTACTCAGTCCTCATTTCAATTAAATTTAGCTTTCTGTCCCTTCCCAACACACTGAAACTACTTTTTATAAATTCATCAATGATATTTCTTATGAAAAAGACTTAAATTTAGTTATGAGAAAAGATGTTTGATATAGTTACGCTTGAAAAAAGTAGCTTACAAAACATAGTATAACCTATTGACTTTTTTGGTGTATAGTTCTATGAATTTTCACACATGTATAGATTCATGTCATCACAACCACAATCTGGATACAGAATAGTTCGCTCACCACAAAAAAACTTCCTACTATCTTTTTGTCTCCAACTCCTACACCCAAATAACCACTGATCTGTATTTCATAACTATATTTTTTTGTCTTTTGAGAATGTCATGTAATGGAAAAATACAGTGACTTTTTGAGACTGGCTTCTTTCGCTCAACTTAATGCCTTTTATATTCAAGTTGTGTGGATCAATAGCTCACTTTTTTTTACTGATGAGTGGTATTACATTGTTTAGATGTATCATAGTTTATCTATCCACCCATTGAAGGACATTTGAGTTGTTTCCATTTGGGGGCAATTATGAATAGACTTGCTAATAAAATTTGTTTACAGACATTTGTGGGAATATACATTTTTATTTCTCTGGGGTAAGAATGTAGAAGTGAAATTGCTATATCATATGCTAAGTATGTGTTTAACTTTACAAGAAACTGTCAAACCATTTTCCAGAGTGCCTTTGCCATTTTGCATTCTCACCTGCAAGGTCTGAGACTTCCAGTTGCTCCAGATCCTCTCCAGTATTATTAGTACATTTCATTTTAGCAATTCTAATATCATATCACAATTTTTAATATGCATTTTCCTATTGGCTAATAGAAATGGACATACTTTCATTTGCTAATTTGCCATTCATGTATCCTCTTTAATAAAGTGTTTGTTCAAGTCTTTAGCCCATTTTTAAACTGGTTTGTTTTCTAATTGTTGAGTTTTGAGAGTTCTTTATACATTCCAGTTACAAACCTTTTGTTGGATATGTGACTTGTAATTATTTTTCTCCCACTCTCTAGCTAGCTTTCTCCCTTTCTTAACAGTATCTTTCACAGAGCAAATTTCTTTTTATTCTGATTCCATCCAGATTATCTTTTTCTCTGTGGATTGTGATTTTGATGTCATGTCCAAGGAACCTTTGCCTAACCTTAGGTAATAAAGATTTTATTCTATGTTTTCTTCTAAAAGTTCTATAGTTTGTACATTACACATTTAGATCTGTGAAACTTTTTAGTTAATTTTGTATAAAGTGTGAAGTTTAGGTAAATGTTCATTTTGTTACATATGGATGTCTAATACTTTAAATGTAATTTTGAAAAGGCTGTCCTTTATTGTTCACCTTTATCAAAAATCAAATGGTAATACTTTCTCTGAATTCATTTTTTAAATTTTATTTAGCAGTTATTTTATTTTTGATTTACATTATTTTTAATTGACAGATCATAATTTTATGTATGGGGTAAAATGTGATGTTTTTATATAGATATACAGGGTAAAATGATTAAATTAAGACAATTAACATATTTATCACCTCACTTGTTTAGCATTTTTGTGGTGAGACATTTCAAATTTATGCTCTTAGATATTTTGAAATACACAATAAATTATTGACTATAGTCACCCTGCTGTGCAATAGATCTCAAAATTTGTTTTTCCTGCCTATCTTAAACTTTATATCCTTTAACCAACAACTCCTCATTCCTTCCCCATTCCCTGTCCCAGCCTTTGATAACCATCTTTCTACTCTCTACTTTTCTAGATTTCACATATAAGTGAGATCATATGATATTTGTCTTTCTGTGCCCACCTTATTTCACTCAGCATAATGTCCTCTAGGTTTATCCATGTTGCCACAAAGGTTAGGATTTCCTTCCTTTTATAAGACTGAATAGTATTACATTATATGTACATGCTACCTTTTCTCTTTTTCCCATAAGTTATTGGGGGTACAGGGGGTGTTTTGTTACATGGGTAAGTTCTTTAGTGCTGATTTGTGAGATTTTTGGTGCACCCATCACCCAACCAGTATGTACTGCACCCTATTTGTTAGACTTTTATCCCTTGCCCCCCTCCCACTCTTCTCCCTGGTCCCCAAAGTCCATTGTATCATTCTTATGGCTTTGCATCCTCATAGCTTAGCTCCCACATATCAGTGAGAACATACGATGTTTGGTTTTCCATTCCTGAAGTTACTTCACTTAGAATAACCGTCTCCAATACCATCCAGGTTGCTGCGAATGCCATTAATTCATTCCTTCTTATGGCTGAGTAGTATTCCATTGTGTGTATATATAGATATAGCTATACATATATAGAGACATATATATAGATTATATATCTCAGTATCTCATATAGACATAGATCTCAGTCTCTTTACCCACTCGTTGATTGACGGGCATTTGGGTTGGTTCCACGATTTTGCAATTGCGAATTGTGCTGCTATAAACGTGTGTTTGCAAGTATCTTTTTCATATAACGACTTCTTTTCCTCTGAGTGGATACCCAGTAGTGGGATTGCTGAATCAAACAGTAGTTCTACTTTTAGTTCTTTAAGGATCTCCACACTGTTTTCCATAGTGGCTGTACTAGTTTACATTCCCACCAGCAGTGTTAAAGTGTTCCCTGATCACTGCATCCATGCCAACATCTACTGTTTTCTGATTTTTTGATTATGGCCATTCTTGCACGAGTAAGGTGGTATTGCATTGTGGTTTTGATTTACATTTCCCTGATCATTAGTGATGTCGAGCATTTTTTCATATGTTGGTTGGCCATTTGTATACCTTCTTTTGAGAATTGTCTATTCATGTCTTTAGCCCACTTTTTTTATGGGATTGTTTGTTTTGTTCTTGCTGATTTGTTTGAGTTTGTATAGATTCTGAATATTAGTCCTTTGTCAGATGTGTTATGGGAAATGGTATAGAGGTTCCTTTAAAAACTAAAAATAGAATAGATTGTGAAGATTTTCTCCCACTCTGTGGGTTATCTGTTTACTCTGCTATTCTTTTGCCATGCAAAAGCTTAATTAAATTAATTAATAATTAAATTAATGATTAAGTCCCAACTATTTATCTTTCTTTTTATTGCATTTGCTTTTGGGTTATTGGCCATGAAATCCTCGCCTAAGACAATATCTAGAAGGGTTTTTCCAATATTCTAGGATTTTTAGAGTTTTAGGTCTCAGATCTAAGTCCTTAATCCATCTTGAGTTGATTTTTGTATAAAGTGAGAGATGAGGATCCAGTTTCATTCTTCTACATGTGGCTAGCCAATGATCCCAGCACCACTTTTTGCAAAGGATATCCTTTCCCCACTTTATATTTTTGTTTGCTTTATCGAAGATCATTTGGCTGTAAGTAGTTGGGTTTATTTCCAGGTTCTGTATTCTGTTCCATTGGTCTATGTGCCTATTTTTATAGCAGTACCATGCTCTTTTACCCATTCGTCTATTGATGGACACTTAGGTTATTTTCGTATCTTGGCTATTGTGAATAACGCTTCAGTGAACGTAGGAGTGCAGGCATCTCTTTGACAATTCATTTTAATCTAGGGGAGATAGACACCCAGAATTGGGATTGCTGGAACATATGGTAGTTCTATTTTTAGTTTTTTGAGGAACTGCCATACCATTTCCCATAATGACTGTACAGGTTGAGGATCCCTAATTCAAAAATTCAAAACCCTAAATTCTCCAAAATAGAAAACTTTTTGCATACCAACATGATGCTCAAAGGAAATGCTTGTTGGAGTATTTTGAATTTTGGGCCTTTTAATCAGGGATGCTCAATTAGTATATATTCTGCAAATATTCTGAAATCCAAAAAAATCCAAAATTCAAAACATATCTGGTCCCAAGCATTTTGGAAAAGAAACCACCTGTACTCATTTACATTCCCACAACAATGTGCAAGAGTTCCCCTTTCTTCCCATCCTGGCCAACACTTAACTTTCATCTTTTTTGATAAACCCATTCTAACAGGTATGTGGTGTTACTTCATTGTGGCTTTAATTTGCATTTTCCTAATGGTTAGTGATGCTGAGCATATTTTCATTTACCTATTGGAAATTTGTAAGTCGTCTTTTCAGAAATATCTGTTCAAATCTTTTGCCCATCTTTTCACTGGGTTAATTTTTTTGGTATTACATTGTTTGAGTTCCTTATGTATTTTTGATATTAACTCCTTATCAGATGTGTGGTTTGCAAATATTTTCTCCCATTCTGTGGGTTATCACTTGACTTTGTTAATTGTTTCCTTTGCTGTGCAGAAGCTTTTTAGTTTGATGCAATCCCATTTGTCTATTTTTGCTTCAGTTGCCTGTGCTTTTGGGGTCATATTTAAAAAAAATCATTGCCCAGACTAATGTTGTGGAGATTTTTGCCTATCTTTTCTTCTAGTAGTTTTATTGTTTTGGATTTTATATGGAAATCTTTAATTCATTTTTGTATATGGTGTGATGTATGAATCCAATTTCATGCTTCTGCATGAAATCTCTATTTTGCACCATTGATCTGTTTGTCTATTTCTTTGCCAACACTACACTACCTCAATAACTATAGCTTTATAGTAAGTTTTAGAATTGAGCAGTATTTTTTAACTTTATTATTTTTTCAAAATTGTTTTAGCTTTCTATTTATTTTGCCTTTCTATGTAAATTTTAGAATCAGCATATCTACATCTACAAAAAATTCTAATGATATTTTATTGTAATTGGAGATGATTGACATCTTCATTATGTAGAGTCTTCTAATTCATGAACATAGTATATTTGTTGTTTATTTAGGTCGTCTCTGATTTCTTTGTTCAACATTTTATAGTTTTCAGTATATATATGTATCTTGCACATGTTCTGTTAGATTTATACCTAAGTATTTTATTTTTGGGTCAGTTTGTTTTTTTTACTTCTAGTTTTCAATTATACATTGCTAACTTATACAAATGCCATTTAGTTTTGTAGGTTGCCTTTATATATTGTGACCTTGCTAAACTGACCTGTCAGTTCTAGGAAGATTTTGGTAAATTCCTTGGGATTTTTTATATAGACAATCATGTCATCTGCAAATAGAACAGTTTTATGTCTTTTGCTCCTTTTCTTTGTCTCATTGCACTGACTAGGACTCTTAATACAGTGTTATATAGGAATGGTATGGGTGCCTTGTCCTTGTCTTAGAAGGGGAAGATTCAGTTTTTCACTATTAAGCATAATGTGTACTGTGGGGTTTGGTGTAGGTACCTTTTATCAGGTTGAGAACATTCTCTTCTATTTCTAGGTTACTTAATTTTTTCTTACTATGAATAGACATGAATTTTGTCAAATAGTTTTTTCCACCAATTAGTATGACTATTATTTTTCCTCTTTAGACTCTCAGTAGAGTGGGTTATGTAGATTGTTTTTCAAATATTGAAGCAGCCCTACATTCCCAGGAAAATCAGCCCCATTTGGTAGTGGCATATGTCTTTTTCTGTATTTCTGCATTCAATTTGCTAATATTTTGTTGAGGACTTTTACATTTGTGTTCATGAGCAATATTGGTCTATAGTGTTTTTTTTTAGGATTGTCTCTATCTGCTTTTGTTATCAGGGTAATTTTGGCTTCATCAGATGATTTCGGTGAATGTTCCCCCTTCTATTTTCTGGGAGAAATTATATAGATTTGATGTTATTTTTTCTTTAAGTGTTTGGTAGACATTTTCAATTATGCCATTTGGTCCTGAAGATTTTTATTCAGAAAAGGTTTAAGTAGAAATTTCATTTCTTTTATAATTTTAGCACAATTTAGATTATTTATTTCATCTTTGGTGAGTTTCAATAGTTTGTGGTTTTAAGGATTTGATCGTTTTATCTAAATTGTTGAATTTATTTGTAGAGGATTGTTATTTTCCTTTTTATACATTTTTACACTTGCTAAGTCCGTAATGATATCCCTCCTTTCATTTCTGATATTAGAAATTTGTGTTTCTCTCTTTCTCTGTCAGTCTTGCTAGAGTTTTATCAGCTTTACTAATCTTTTCAAATAACTAGCTTTTGTTTCACTCGTTTTTCTCTCTCTGTATTTTCAATGTAATGATTTCTACTTTTAACAGTTTAATTTCTTTACATTTATTTTACTCTTTTTTCTTGTTTCTTAAAGTGGAAGCTTATATTTTTGATTTGAGACCTTTGATTTGAGACCATTTAATGGTATAATTTTTTCTTAAGCACTGTTTCAACTGCATCCCACAAATCATGTTATATATATGTATATACATATATATGTGTGTATATATATATTTATAGGTTAAGGATTTTTAAAATATATATATTTATTGAATATGTAATATGTAATATGTAAAAATAATTATATAAAGAGTATCAAGGAGTTAAAAAAAGACTAAATGATGATGAAAAGAAAAACATAAACTGTAGAAAAACAATATAAATAAGAGAACAACTAAAATAAAATGAGGTGTCTTTTTAAAAGTGCATATATTGACAAGATAATGCATTGGGTTCACATTTATAGAAGTATCACTTTGAATTAGAAATTTGAAGACAAGCAAAAACTTCATAATCCCTATACTCATTTACTAGGCTGGCTTTTTTTTTTTTAAGGTTTCTCTAATTGCTTTAATTCAGGTTATCTACATAGGTTTCTACATATGGATTCTCTTTTTTTATTATTATTATTATACTTTAAGTTTTAGGATACATGTGCACAACGTGCAGGTTTGTTACATACATATACATGTGCCATGTTGGTGTGCTGCACCCATTAACTAGTCATTTAGCATTAGGTATATCTCCTAATGTTATCCCTTCCCCCTCCCCCCACCCCACAACAGTCTCTGGTGTGTGATGTTCCCCTTCCTGTGTCCATGTGTTCTCATTGTTCAATTCCCACCTATGAGTGAGAACATGTGGTGTTTGGTTTTTTGTCCTTGTGATAGTTTGCTGAGAATGATTTCCAGCTTCATCCATGTCCCTACAAAGGACATGAACTCATCCTTTTTTATGGCTGCATAGTATTCCATGGTGTACATGTGCCACATTTTCTTAATCCAGTCTATCATTGTTGGACATCTGGGTTGCTTCCAAGTCTTTGCTATTGTGAATAGTGCCACAACCAACATATGTGTGCATGTGTCTTTATAGCAGCACGATTTATAATCCTTTGGGTACATACCCAGTAATGGGACGGCTGGGTCAAATGGTATTTCTAGTTCTAGATCCCTGAGGAATCGCCACACTGACTTCCACAATGGTTGAACTAATTTACAGTCCCACCAACAGTGTAAAAGTGTTCCTATTTCTCCACATCCTCTCCAGCACCTGTTGTTTCCTGACTTTTTAATGATTGCCATTCTAACTGGTGTGAGATGGTATCTCATTGTGGTTTTGATTTGCATTTCTCTGATGGCCAGTGATGATGAGCATTTTTTCATGTGTTTTTTGGCTGCATAAATGTCTTCTTTTGAGAAGTGTCTGTTCATATCCTTTGCCTCCTTTTTGATGGGGTTGTTTGTTTTTTTTCTTGTAAATGTGTTTGAGTTCATTGTAGATTCTGGATATTAGCCCTTTGTCAGATGAGTAGGTTGCAAAAATTTTCTCCCATTTTGTAGGTTGCCTGTTCACTCTGATGGTGGTTTCTTTTGCTGTGCAGAAGCTCTTTAGTATAATTAGATCCCATTTGTCAATTTTGTCTTTTGTTGCCATTGCTTTTGGTGTTTTAGACATGAAGTCCTCCCACATTGCCAAGTCAATCCTAAGCCAAACGAACAAAGCTGGAGGCATCACGCTACCTGACTTCAAACTATACTACAAGGCTACAGTAACCAAAACAGCATGGTACTGGTACCAAAACAGAGATATAGACCAATGGAACAGAACACAGCCCTCAGAAATAATGCCGCATATCTACAACTATCTGATCTTTGACAAACCTGACAAAAACAAGCAATGGGGAAAGGATTCCCTATTTAATAAATGGTGCTGGGAAAACTGGCTAGCCATATGTAGAAAGCTGAAACTGGATCCCTTCCTTACACCTGATACAAAAATTAATTCAAGATGGATTAAAGACTTACATGTTAGACCTAAAACCGTAAAAACCCTAGAAGAAAACCTAGGCAATACCATTCAGGATATGTTATATTTTTATTTTAGTTCAGTTCAAAATATGTTCTAATTTGTCTTGTGACTTTCTCTTTGGCCCATGGATATTTAGAAATGTGTTTTTTTAATTTCCAAATTTTGGAAATATTCTTCTTTTCTTTCTGTTACTGATTCCTAGTTTAATTCCTTCATGGTCAAAGAGTATACCTTGTATAATTTCAGTTTTCAACATGTGTTATTTTATGGCCCAGTATATGATCTGTCTAGATGAATACCCCATAAGAACGTGAAAAGATTGTGTATTCTGGTGTTTTGGGTTGTGTGTTCTATAAACACCTATTAAATCCAGTTGGTTGATGGTGGTGTTCTTTTACAACCTTGCCTTTGCTTCTTTTCTTTCTCCTCAATCTACTTACTATTGAGAGGGAACAGTTAAAATCTTCAATGATAATTGTGAATTTTCCCATTTCTCCTTTCATTTTTGTCAGCTTTGCTCCATGAATTTTAAGCTCATTTTTGATGCATATATATTTAGGAATATTATGTATTCTTATGTACATTGCATCATATGTCCATCATTATGTAATGTCCCTCTTTATCCTTGGGAATTTCTTTGTGCTGAATTGATATTAATATAGTCACTCCAGGTTTCTTTTGATTAGGTTTTCATGATATGTTGCTTTTCACTCTTTCACTTTAAATGTGTCCATATCATTATATTTGAAGTGAGTTTCTTGCGCTTCTACACCTGCATCTGAGTCCAGGGTCAGGTATTGATAGGAGAGAGAGGGAAAAGAGCTATGATTGTTGGCTGCTTTAGAATTACGGCTTCACTAATAGATAACTTGGCTTCTCAGTCTTCACTTTTCCAAAATTTTTACTTGAGTATATTCATAAAGCTGAAGTGAAGGAGGAAATAGGTAGCATTTGAGGATAGAAAATACAAAACCAATTCCAGACATTAGGTCAGTGGTCCTCAAACATCAGAGTTTGAACATAAGAATTCTATTATAAATCCAGATTCCTAGGCTACATCTATAGAGATTATGCTTTGGTAGTTCTAGTCTGGGGTCTAAGAAACTGTATCATCATGTCCCGGGTAGCTCTGATACAGAGAACCTAAGGACAGCACTATGAAATTTTTTTTCTTACCTAATGATTGTGGTAGGACACCTAATATTACACTGCTATCTTAGAACTCATTACTCAGGAACAAGGCAGGACTAAGTTCATTCACACAGACAAGTGGATAAGGTTGGAAAATTTTCATTGTGTTTCAATTGCGCTTCAACTTAGATTTTGTCCCTTTCTCGGTAGGCCAATTTTAGCATGCATTTATTAACTGGACTTTTCTATTTAGATAAAGTGGCTCTGAAAAGACTTGGTGTGATTGATAATATATAAAAAGAAAGATTGAAGATATTTGTGTAATTTACTCAGTTTGTCAGTTATTTCTCCTCTTTTAAGATATCTACTTTCCCCAATCTTCTAAGCTGCTTTTTTCTTTTTATTTACTATTTATAGAGAATCCAGAGTAGAGGAATTGCTAGTTTTTACAGGCTTTGCTTTCCATCAAGCCTTGTGTGACCAACATATACGTCTTACATCTTCAGCAACTCTGTTTCACCCGTATCCCTTCAACTTTCATGTGGGGTTATAAAGATGGGTTATTTTCTTAGCCCAAGTGCTTTATTCCACGATATAATAGTATGAGAATCATCTTCTGTTACCAGTAGCTTTATCTTTTTGGACCACTTGAATTATATTTTATGTGGATCCTGAAATAGTAATGGAAACTAATCATCATGTCTTCAGTTCCGAGCATGCTAAATTGACCATAACTTTTTTAAAACAATCAAGCCACCCATAGTTTGCCAAAGATGATGATTGGACAATGATGACCCTTAAATAATTGTACATTTTATTTCTCCATATTAAATGAGTTCCTCGGATTTGGAAATGAAACTCTCATTAAGAACATATGTAGTATAATGGAATTCAGAACAGGATATCTCAATGTTGTTGTTCTTACCACTGTTTTATCAATGGAAAATGGTGCCAAAATGTTTTAGATGTATATGAACTTTCTGACCACAAGGTGTGTATTTATTATTTTACTAAAAATAATTTACTAAATAATATTGTAGTGTCCTAGAAGAGTTTCTACATTTCTGAAAGGAGAGTAATTTTCTTCTTTCCCTCTGAAAAACTATCTGATATCACTACAATGAAGTGATTCCTTTGGGGTTAAGAAATAAAATAATATACTACTTTCATCCTGGTTTACTTTTCTAATACCACTGATGTAGAGGTGATTCTGTGCTTTGGGAAAGGTATATTGTATGCATAAATGAACGTGGGTCTCTCACCTAAGAGAAAATAGAGAAATTTAAATGCCCAGTAGCATGAGTACTAGATCTGCCATGATAATTCTATTGAATTTGGGCATGTAAATAGCTGAAATTTGCAAGAAAAACAAAATAAAGTACAGACGCTTGCATGATTTGGGAAGTAAAAGATAAAAATAGTAGGAGATTGGAGAAGAATTCTTGTAAAAAGAGGTAAGTAATTTTCTAAGGACAGCACTTGTTACCACAAGCATTTCCAGTGAAAATCTGGGGTACCATTGCTAGGGACTATGTTATAAAACAGATCTCATGTTTGCTTTTCTAACTGGTATTTGACCTAGTAATATTCTTTTTGATTCATATGTATTATCTGTTTCCTCCTGTGGCCAGTAGCAAACAGGAGAAGCCATTATTCAATGCAATGAATATTTATCTAACAGAAGAAATAAAGATGAATGTATTTGTTACTAAATAAATTCAATTGCTCTAACAAAGATACTTAAAATAATAGCAGGTAAAACAATAGAATATTGTTTTTCTCTCTAAAAATCAGAGTGGGAACTGTGAGGTTGGTATGGTAGTTTCACTTTCATCAGGGATCAGAATATTTTGTCTTAGTGCTCTACCATCTTTGACACATGGTTTCTACCTCATGCTCCTACCAGACTCTCTGCATTTCAGCCAGCACAAAAGAGGAAATGTAGAAAGGAAGGCCATATCACATCTCTGCTAACATCTGTTTACTCACATTCCAATAGCTATAACTTGATCAAATGGCAATGCTTAGTTGCAGGGAAGACTGAGAGAAATGTAGTCTCTATCTAGATGGCCATATTACTTACACAAGTAAGGAGACGATGGATATTGTTTGGACTACTGAAAGTTGCTACCACAATAAGTACACTCAGATTTCTTACCTCAGAGAGCTTAAATACTCTGTAAGCGTGAAGAAAACTGTTCATTGTAATACAAGCAATAAGTATGAAATAAGAATTGTAGGAAATGCTTATATTTAAGGAAAGCTTAAATATGATAAAAATATTTATAATTTCAGCAGCAGATAGGACATCCAGGAATAGAAGCCCAAGTAGGTATTGAAACTATGGGTGTAGATAAAGGAGGAAATTTCTTAGTAAAAGTGGCATCAGAATATCTGAAAAATAGAACTTTTTCAAAGTACGCCCACTTTTATCCACCTAAAGTCTTTGAGAGGCCTTCATACCACCAGGTGTATACTATTTGTTGAGGATCATGAAGCAGACAAAGAAATATGGAGACTAACCTAAATCCTTCACAAGTCTTAAAGCCTCTCAAGAAAGGGTAATCCTCTTCATCAGATATATCTACCTCTCTTACTGAATAGGGTCTTTGATATTGTTTCTGCTTCTTCCCTCTTTCAGGGTGCTTTTCAGGAAACAATGATCATTTTTTGGCAATTAATCAGAAGAAGAGTGGGAAGCCGGTATTCATTTATAAGCATTCACAAGACATTGAGAAGAGCCTGGATATAGCCCCACAAAAAATCTACAGACATAGCTACCATTCCTCTTCCGAAGCTCAAGTAAGCAAACGCCACCAGATTGTCAATTCAGCATTTCCTAGACCCGCATATGACCCGTCTCTCAATCTGCTGGCCATGGATGGTCAAGATCTTGAAGTGGAAAATCTCCCAATCCCAGCAGCAAATGTAATTGTGGTGGTAAGTAGTATGTTAAACTGATGCTGAGGCTGATGTTGATTCTTTCCTGTCATTGATGCTTGAAAAAAGAAAAACACTGATTGTGAATAGTTATCAATGAATCCCAACGGGTATGTACCACAGCACTTATTCTGTGGTACTTCTAATTTCTTACTTGACTGTTGTCTGTTTTCTTCCTCTTACGAAATCAGAAAACTTGTCTGTATCCTCCGCTCATAGCAGAATGCATGGTACATGGTAGATGCTTAATAAATATTTGAATAAAAGATTACTTTAGGAAGGCCTTACAATTATAGTTGATTATATCTTGTACTGAGCCTCCTACCTTCTGTGAGAATCTGTTTTAAGCAGATAGGCCTTAGTCTCAGCCTGTGTAAATAAATAATACTTATTGAAGATCCTCTGGTCACTTGACTCAAATTACAATAAATAAGACAACTGAAAGGGGAGGTGTGGTAGAGGGAGAGTAGTTTTCTGTCACTGGAGCAAATAAAATGAGTTGGGAGTAATTGATAGATAACATTTTTGATATTACTGAATAATAACCATTCTTTATTAATAAAAGTGATACAATGATCCCATTGCTTATGTTCTTAAAGTTCCCTTGCTTGTATAACCCAGGTCAGAGGTTTCCAAATTGTGGAGGTTATCATAGTTTAAATACATACTGAGGTTGACACCCTATTTGAACTACAGTCACTCTCTGGTTTAACATCATTATAGAAGGATCCACATTGAAACTACAAATCAGTAGTTAAATGGTTGTTATTGCATCTCTGCTCCAAAATATAATCAAATGAGTTGATTTGTGTGGCCAAGATAATTCAATGAAACCATGTTTGCATTTTGGCAACTCCTCTATGCACCAAATGTAATTAAATCTAACAAGCTTCTTTTTTTTCTTTATTTTTTTAACCTACTACATATAGTATACTTTACTTAATATTGAGAATCAAAGTTCCATTCGTCAATGTTTTCAGCTAGCATACACTCAGTATTTATTATGATCTAGTTTCCCCTTGGGATATCTGGAAACAGAGACAAATGAAATACAGTCTCTTGTTTTGCTTGGAAAATGTCCAGAGGGAAATATCAATAATTCAATAAAAATCATAAGCTAAGAACACAAGATGAACTCTTGTTAAGAGAAAATATGTGGGTCACTTGGCATCCTGAAATACTTGAACAAGTTTTCTGCATTTACATGAGTAGCAGATGTTCTGAAGGTGAAAGTCATGTACTCTGTCTATTCAGTGAAGATAAATGATGTTAATGATGTCTCTGTATCTGGAGATGCTCCTGTTAATGCTAGGGCTCATGGGAGATATTTCCTTAGTGACCATCATATACCCATAGTCATCAACTCTTAAAGTCACTGTGAATTACAGTTCAAGAGGCTTGTTCTATCTTGTAATGTCATGTACTGTCTAGTTAATTTAATATCATGGACAATAAAAGGCACCAATGAGGAATTCTGGCAGGTCATTTCACTTTCAGCTTATTTGTGGTTTGGAGATTGATGAAGAAGCTGTGCTTTTCCTTTGGGGTGATGATTACATAGAGGCAATAGGCAATTTTGCTGCATTAGCTTTCCCTAGCCTCTGACCATGCTGTGGCTTTGGTAGCTGGCAACACCAATTGCCAGTCCTAATGTTTCCTGCAATCCACTTAGATTACTTATGTGCATGATGATTTAGCAGCAAAACTGGGGAGGCAGGGTTATTTTTTAAATAAATCAATAATGTTTAGCTTCCTCAAAAAGCAAAGGGGTGATGCAATTAAATGTCAGCTGATTTGAAGACCCATTCCATACAGAAAATGGATGTATGGATGGGGCATACAGGAAGCAAGGGATATATTCTGGGGCAGCATAATGACTTTAATGGAATAATTGATGTGTGTTTGTGCTTATCATATGTACATGAGTATAAAACATATACATCAATGCAGACCTTCTTGTTTGAGGGATATTGCAGTGGTACTAAGAATTATTTTGAGACTTAATTTATACTCAAATAGACCATGTTCTGACTATCAGTGTCTTGAACTGGAGAAATTATAGGCATTTTTTTTCCAGCCAGGGTAAAAAGCTACACTCAACCTCTAAACTTTATATGTAACTTCTAAGACTTCCTAGCTCAGAAGGAAGGATCAAGCATTTTTCCTCCAATACTTTTTTCTTTCTTGTTTCAACTATCATTGGCAATGAGTTTTAGAATGCTACCTTTAAAAAGGGCATGAAAGTTGTGTCTCTCCTCCCTTCCTGATTCCCAATTGCCACCGCAAAGCATTTCATAAGAGCATTTATCCACAAATGAATTTTTTCCCTCTTTCTTCTTTTTATTAGTAATCAGGAAAATTTATAGTTTATTTGTTACAAGGAGAGTACAACACAATTAGAATGTTTATCCCAAATAATGCTAACTATGTTCCGGAACTCAATTAAGAAGCTGTTATTAGGATTTCTGTGCAAGTACAATGTAGAGAAGATATTGAATGCCTCAAGGTCAGTACTATGGTAAGAGGAAAAAAATACCGCTTTAGATGAAAGTATGCTGTAAAATCCATAGCTCTTGTCACTGGATCCTCAGGATATTTGTCAAGACACAAGGCCACAACACCAGGAAGGAGGGAACCCAGAGGTGCAAGTGAAAATGGTGGAATGGTAGCAACTACAGGCCATTTCAGTTCAGCATAGGCTGCTGAGTGAAGAATGTTCTAGCCTGGACAGAAATCTGAGCAAACTGAGGATTAGTAAGGCTTGGGAATATAAGGGGTGGTTTTTGACATCAGTGAAACGGCATGGAAATGGGAAGATTATGATTTACTCTGTGAGATGGACTCATGGGTAAGAAAAATAAAGGAAAGGAGAAGATGGAGGAGAAGAAACAGGAAGAAGAGCAGCAGGAGAAGGAAAGGAGGCAAGGAAAGAAGGGAAAAAGAAGCGGGGGGAGAAGGGAGGAGAGGATACAGAGGCAGTTTTTAGGGAAGCAGGAAGCATTCTGTGAGCACATAGGAAGATGATGAGTTTCCAGGGGCTTGCGATCCTCTCCTTGAGATCCTAGAATCCTAAAATTTCTTGTCTTGCTCACCACTCACCCAGATCAACATATAGACAGACATTCTATTGTTTCTGTGACACAGAAAATTCTTTGCAAATACTTTTTGTCAGGTATTTGACTTAGAAAGCTATTAAATCCAAAAACGTGTGATAGCTATGGGTTTTAATTACATTCTAAACTCGGGTTTATGGCATGCCTCAGCTTTGTTCTGCTGTTGACTACCTTTTGGATTCATCTTATAAGTAAAGTGATAATCTCTAGACATTATGTGAAGGGCTTTGAAAGTCCGGCTTTCTCATTGCTTTGCCACTGTAAAGAAATTCTGTAGCATTTACTGTGTGATGTGGATAAATAACTGTTGGATACTTTTTCAATAGACAAATTGGTTTAATTATAATTTTATATTTGTGTAGTGGATTACCCGAAGGATGGGCTTAGTCTATGTACATATCAACAGAATTCAGCCATGTCATAGAAGATGTATTGTTGAGGAATATGTTGTTGTAAGTGATGACAAATCCAACCCAAACTGGAGAAAATTTATTGGTTCAAATGCCAACACTTTTGTAGTACATTTAGCTCTAGATATGGTTCAATCAGCATTTAACATTTCTCCTGACATAGGAGAAAGTTAAGATCCCTAGGATATGTCTTAAAATTCAGACTGTTTGCCATTGAGCACGATGCTTTAGTACAACCTATTGAATTCTTTATATTTTGACCCTGAAAAGTCTCAAATTTTGTGAAAAACTACAGTAGCCTGTATACTTCTTGACAGTGATTACTTACATAGTAGGGACAATAGGTCTGTGTTGAGCTGTGGAGAAGCAGATGTCTAGGCTTATTCTTGAGCTAAGTGACTTGCTCTTGGTGGGCAAACTCAAAGAAAGCATGATTCAAACACAGGCTTTGGGAAATTTTTTGAATTAATATGTGTTAAGGGTATATGGGATCAAAATAATATAATACCAAGTCCAAAATACTAAACTGGTGAAATGCGAAAGCCTACTGTAATGTGAGGTGTGACTCAGATGTGCTTCCATATAGTCCCAGAACACCTGTCCCAAGTTCCTAGATGGGATGCATATAAAGCCCTAAGAGAATAAATCTGATTTTAAAAGTTGCAACACAAGAAAGTTGGTTAAACAACAACTACTGAAAGTACATGCATGCAAATTTACAAATGGAAAAGTAGAAATCATAGAGCAATCTGAGTCCATATGAGAAATTAAAGAATGATAAGGGAGGCATCACAAGTGAGTGGGAAAATATTATTGACCATGTGAGACTGGAACAATTGAATAGCTTTTTTTCAAAAGATATCATGATAGTGATAAGTAAATTATTTTTTGCTAAGCATAAAACATTGATAGTATGCTAAGAACTATGCGAGTATTATCTCATATAATTGTTACAGCAAGCCTGTGGCAACAACAAAACTATTATCTCTGATTTTTTGCTTTTCTTTCTCTAATAAATTATTGGAACATGCTGCTAACTAGTCACTGTATCCACTCTTTCCCATTTTTGTTATGGTGATCTGCAGAAAGTTTGAATCAGATCATATCACACCACACACACACACCCACACACACACATACACACATTCACGACTGCCTTCTTATTGCCATTGAACTAAAATTCAAACATTTTCCCATGGCCTATATCCTACATCACCTGGGATCCAAGATTCCCAGAACTCTTGCCTAAGGATTCTGATTCCATAGTTCTAGGATGGATCCTAGGAATCAATGCATTCAGGAAGCATTCTGGAGGATACTTGGGTTTTCAGAGGTTTGGGAAGCATAGCACACCACCTGGCCTATCCCTGTGTCTCTGAGTCCATCTCCTACCACTCCACCTCTCCTTGACTCCCTGCAAACTGCTCTGGCCTTCTCTCTTCCTCAGGACAGTGAGCCTATTCCTGCCTGAATCAGGAATTTTACTCTTGCTGTTCTACCTAGAATAATATACTTCCTGCAAATCTTGTGTCTAGCACATAATGAAGGCTCATTAATTATTTTTAAATTAATAAATAAATGTCAAATAACAGAATGCAGTTGTTTTGGACACTGAGATGATGAAAGATTTCTTATTGCATTTTTTTACTTCAACCTGCAGTAAATTTCCTACTTTTTTCTTCACCTTATTACTTAATTTTTTTTTGGAAAGAGTCTCGCTCTGTTGCCCAGGCCACGGTGCAGTGGTGCGATCTTGGCTGACTGCAACCTTCGCCTCCTGGGTTCAAGCAATTCTCCTGCCTCAGCCTCTCAAGTAGCTGGGACGATAGGCACGGACCACCACGCCCAGCTAAATTTTTTGTATTTTTAGTAGAGGCGGGGTTTCACCATGTTGGCCCAGCTGGTCTCAAACTCCTGACCTCAAGTGATCTACCTGCCTCAGCCTCCCAAAGTGCTGGGATTACAGGCATGAGCCACTGAGCCTGGCCCCTACTTAAATTTTTAACAGACAGCTTGGATAGTTTTCAGGAACAAATTTCAAAAGTAGAAATGTAAAACCAAAAAGAAAATAAACATTGGGAACATACGCCATCACTGAAAGAAGGAGGGCACTGTCTTACACCTAGCCAGGGTGACACTGTTTAAAACTACAGCTTCCAAAGACATTTATGTCCACCTGCCTACATTATTTTTCTTCTTAGTACTTATGAAGCACTTCTAGCTAATATCTTTTATGTCTCTTTCTTCCCGAGTTATAATGTATGTTCCACAATGTTGAGATTTTTTTATTTTGTTCCTGCTGTATTTCCAGTGACCACAATGATATAGGGGCTCATAACTATTTATTTGATGAAAGAATGAGTTGATGCCAAAAGAAACACAATTCAAAAGCTTGTAATTAAATAAATAGTACATCTCATTATCAAGAAAATATGATTGAATATGCAATTTTAACACTTAATTACCCATTATATGATCTCGTTTTACATTTTCTCTCCCCACCTAGAGTAGAAATTCCATTAAAAATATACTTGTTTTGTATCTATAACCTTTCAATAGCAAATGCAAAATAGCTAGTCAATGAATATTGATGATTGCTTAATCTATTCCCAGGATTCAAAATCATTTGAGTTGACTTAAAGGATCCATAATAGCCATTTCACAGATACTAATAAAAAATAAAATACAGCTTTCAGTTAGATTTTATTTTTAAGAAAGCCTAGAAAAAGAAATTCAATGATCTACTCCAGAAGTTTGGTTGAACTTTTGTTCTGCTCTTAACTTAATGTTAATGCTTCCTATTAAATTATAAGATCTTCTTATATAATCACCTTCTTATATAATCGCCAGACTAGCATTGCAGAAAGCTTTATGCTCAGATTTCCCCAGCTATTACTGTATCCTTGCAAAATAGTCCTGAAGTAGAAATTCCGTTCTTGAGCTTGGCATCCTGACAGTCATAACTGTCACCATCTGTTGCTTTTCACCATTTCTAGCTATTAAAGCAGCAAGGACGATGCTGGAATGCACTCTGGAAAAGCTAGAGGCTAAGCCTCAGCAATGTCTGTGTGAGGTTACAACCCTGGACCACTCAGTGCATCTGCTTGTTTGGGATCATACACATTCACTATTAGGATGACTCAAGTCTTAAGAGAGCTGGTTTAATTGATTGTCATTAGGCCTTGCTCTCCAGGTGCAGTGAATGAGCAGGGAATAACTTAGTAATATTTTTGTTCTAATTCCAAAAATTATGCATTTTCATACAGTTGTAGAATATTTAGAAAGTTTAGATAAGGAAAAGCGGAAATAAAAACCATCCATAACCAGCCAGGCGTGGTGGCTCAGCGTGTAATTCCAACACTTTGGGAGGCCAAGGCTGGTGGATCACGTGGTCAGTAGATCGAGATCATCCTGGCTAACGGTGAAACCCCATCTCTACTAAAAATACAAAAAATTAGCCGGGCATGGTGGTGGGCGCCTATAGTCCCAGCTACTCGGGAGGCTGAGGCAGGAGAATGGCATGAACCCAGGAGGCAGAGCTTGCAGTGAGCTGAGATTGTGCCACTGCACTCCAGCCTGGGCAACAGAGCAAGACTCCGTCTCAAAAAAAAAAAAAAAAAATCCTTAACTGTTAAATAACTAAGGTAATCTTGCTCTCTCTATATATTCTTTTCTATGTACAGGTATGCATGTATTTTTTACAAAAGTATGAAATCTGCATATATGTGCTTTGTAATTTTTTAGTTTTATGTTTACATTATGGATGGCTTTCCAAGTCGTTAAGTATCATTGTACAGCATCACTTTTAACAGCTGCTAAAAATTTCATTGTATAGTAGCTTTCACATTTTATATATTGACTTATATTCCCAATACAGTCACTGATTTAAGGCCACTCATCCTGAGAAGGAGAAATAAATGATGACAATATCTAATATAGTATTATTTTCTAAGCAACTGCCCAATTAATATTACTGAGAGAATTTGGTGAGCTTATCTCAGGGAAAGCTACTTTCTTTATAAATTCTTCATATAATTGTAATATAGGATCTAATTTTTTTCATTTGGGCAAATTATGTACGTTTCAAAGATCTTAGACCTTAAATCTTAAGTAAAGTGAAATATTTAAAATAGCCAAAGGAGTAAACAGAACAAAAAAAGAGAATGTTCTGATTAGAAGATACAAAACATTCTATTTCAGAACTTATCTTTGAGGAAGAAGGACAGTGCTGTTCCTCTTTATGTTGGAGCCTGCAAAACTTTTTTTTTTTTTTTTTTTTTTTTTGAGACAGAGTTTTGCTCTGTTGCCCAGACTGGAGTGCAGTGGCACGATCTCGGCTCACTGCAAGCTCCGCCTCTCAGGTTCACGCCATTCCCTGGCCTCAGCCTCCGGAGTAGCTGGGACTACAGGCGCCCGCCACTACGCCCGGGTAATTTTTTTTTTGTATTTTTTAGTAGAGACGGGGTTTCACCGTGTTAGCCAGGATGGTCTCGATTTACTGACCTCGTGATCCGCCCGCCTCGGCCTTCCAAAGTGCTGGGATTACAGGCGTGAGCCACCGCGCCTGGCAAAAAAATTTTTAATCCAAAATTTCCACAATAATGTCAAAAAGGGGGATCTGCAGATAAACAAAAATAGTATCTTTTCTCTGGAGCAAATATTTACTTGGAGCTTTCAGTTCTCTCTAAAATTGCCTTTGGTTTTCCAGTTGTTAAGAACTGTTCTCCCGTATGCCTTTTGTTAATGACTTTGTCCCCTTTTCTTTCTTTCCTTCTTTGTCTATTTATCTGTAATCATAAGTGCCTGTAAATCATGCTTACTATCTTGTTACTATTCAATAGTTCAGTTAAAAATCTCACTGCTAATGGATGATTATACTGGGCTTTCGGGGCATTTGGCCCTGCTCCTGAGTGATGGGATTGGCACCACTTAGCAAAATGCTTAGGTTTCTCACTGTGATCCCTATGACTCAGGTGGTAGAAGCAACGTGTTTCTTTCTCTTTTTTTAGGAAAAATACAAAAGCTAAAAGTCCCTAGAAGGTTCTCTCCCTGGGCAAAGTTAAGAAGCTTAACTCCCAGTGCTAGTCTACAATTGGAATGTGAGTCTAGAGTTCAGACAGGTCACAGCCAAAGCTTTAGACCTGGGAGATATCCACAGACCCATGCATGGCTGTTAACACTGTTTGAGTGGGTGAGAGAATGCAGACAGAGGGAAACAATAGAATAGAATAAGCTATTACTGTGGCAGAAGTGGAAAGAGGACCAACACAGAGAAGGAACAGATGGAAATGTAGGAGCTTCATTGTATAAATTCTTCTGGCAATCTTGACCACTCAAAAGATTTCAGCCAAATATTAGATTTTCATGACAATCAAAGTCTGCTTCCTAACTAATCCTTTCATTTTTTTTCCTGGGAGGGTATAAGACCCCAGATCTGGCTGTGACATTATTAAGACATGTGAAATAAAACTCAGTATTTTAATAAAGTAACACGGTTTCTACTGACATTTAAAAAAACTCAAAAAATGAAAAGCACGAAGCTTTTCATTTAACTTAGTATAGTCCTTGGCACACAACAGTTCTTAAATACTTGCACCAAAAAGAAAGAAATTATCTGCAGGTTAAAGGAGAGAACTAGGGGGGAATGTGGAGAAATTATCAAAATAAGCCAAGGTCCTAGCTTAAGCTGTGTGAAGATATTGTTATTGTTAAGATATTATGCACACTTAGGTAATCATTCGGCTTACCAGAGAAGTGGTAAGACTGGGGAAAACATTGGAAGTAATTCAAAAATAGCCATAGCATAATACAGTGGCTCAAATCCTTGCTGTTTCCCCTCTAATTTTTATGTGACTTAAGTCTGTGTTTCATTATCTTTTTTATTGTTGTTTTTTGAGATGGAGTTTTGTTCTTGTCACCCAGGCTGGAGTGCAATGGTGAGATCTCAGCTCACTGCAACCTTCACCTTCTGGGTTCAAGCGATTCTCCTGCCTCAGCCTCCCCCGTAGCTGGGTTTACAGGCACCTGCCACCAGGTTCAGCTAATTTTTGTATTTTTAGTAGAAACAGGGTTTCACTATGTTGGCCAGGCTGGTCTTAAACTCCTGCTACCAGCCTCAGACTCCCAAAGTGCTGGGATTACAGGCATGAGTCACTTTGCCCAGCCTTCATTATCTTTTAAATGGGAGGATTAAAATTACCAACTTCATAGAGGTGTATAGATTAAATGATAAAACACATTGAATACTCTTACATGTCACCTAGTGAATAGTGAACACTCAATAAATAGTAACTATAGGAAGAGAAATGTTATTGCTATTTTATAGGCAAAGTATACATCAAAGTAACTCGTTAATATAACTGGGACTCAAACCAGTAGCGGAATAGATGAGGATCTGGAGCTTACAAACACTTGAGGATATGAAGCCTCTTTGGATCAGTGTTGGCAACAAGTAATATAAGCCTAAACATTAGAAAATGTCTGTCAAGGAAGACCAGCAATAGGTTTCAGATGAAGATTTTGGCAAATTAAAAAAAAAATGGGTCTTACTCAATCATCATATTCCCAGTCACTATGGGAGAATAAAGTTTTTATAAATAAATGTAAACACAGAGGCAAACTCTTGCGTCTTGCCGGACTGGCCTCCTTGACTCTTATTTCTTGTTTTTCACTTTTCTCCAAAGTGTTTAGTATGATAAGGGTGGGTCTCCTGGTGATGTTTTAGTCTAGAGTGTTCTTGGTGTTCTATATCCTCTGGGAAGCCAGGGGGTGGGCAGCAGTCACGGTAGTGACTTAGGATACAGATTCTGACCATCACTCCTCCTATCTATCATAGCTAGTGATGGGGTGCAAAGAATCTTGGAATCAGCAATAACAAGTAAAGGAATAGTTCCAAAAGGAAATACCTCCAGGGCTAAGCCAGTGTAAATATTTAATGACAAAGCTTCTAGATTTGGAGATCTCTTCACTTTCTCTTGCGCAGGATTAGATTTCAATTTGCTTCTTGGAGTTTGGAAAGAAAGATGTTGATGTAGGGGATTCAGTGGTCCAGACACAGGATGACAGAATAAAAACCTTTAACCAGGTTGAAGAAGATTGGTAATAGAGTTATCGGTATGAAACTAAACAAGAAATCCAACAGCGTAACGCAAAGGCTGTGTCACAATAGTGTCACAATAAACACCCAATACTTTAGAAGAGAAAACAAATATAGGAAATATTCAACTCTCCACCCTTTAATTAAAAAGAAAATATCCTTTCCTTACGCTTATCTTAAGAGAACTATTTCAAATATATTTGCTTCTTCTCGCTGTTGAATCTATTCATTGTGTCAGAATGACTTCAGAAATACAAACACGCATGTTGTCACCATAGCTATTTATCATTGTCCTTTCATAAAGAAGATTGATCAGAATCTTCTACTTAAGACGTTTTCTAAATTTTGTTTTTGAAGGATGAAAATATAATCCAGCCAATATTCATATCTCAAGTTGTTTCTTTCCTTACTAGGTGACATATTTGGACCCTTTGAGTCTAGCAAAGTCAAGAGAACATTACCAACTTTAGATATCTTTCCATTTGGCCTACATTTTCACATGGTTTAGGCTTTTGACTGAAACAATAAGTTAGCAGCAAATAACTTCCAATAAAAAGGCCCATTTTTGAGGGGATAGGCCAAATGTTCACAAACAATTTCTACAATTGTGGGAAGAGGTGTGTGTATGTGTGAGAGATGTTTGCCCTCCTCTCTGAAAATGATAGCCAGGTGATAAAAATTCCAAGACAGCCTGAAGGACTTAGAGAATACTGAGAATAATATGTGTTAGGATGACCAGGGTGAGGAATCTGTCTTACTGCTAAGTTTCCCTTAATTATTTCATGCTCCTATTGCTGACCTAGTGAAGCTGCATTATTTAAGAATTTGTTTATTTTTCCTGCCTGAGAACATGGCAACTAGAATTACGGTTTTTAACCTGAACAAGTACATGTTGTTTCTATGTGACTTGAGCCATCAAGTTCATTTCTGTTTCTTTTTTTGAAGCTGGTCTGTTTTTAAATAGGAAATTTTAGGCAGCGTATAGCAAAATCTACTTGAATGGGCTGCTAAGCAAATTCTTTGGATATAGGCTTTAAAAAATCAGCAGTCATTGTGTGTGGGAAAATGAATTACAAAATTTTTTTTCATGTATTACAAATGATGATGTCATCTATATGTTAAGTATAACTTTTAAAATAAAAAATCAAATTGATAAAATCAAGTCTATGCCAAGCTGGATTATTAAAAATAGCCAAGTTAAAGGAAACAATACATTCTGGTGAGGAGCATAAATAAGTCATGGAGACTTGAGAATCTGTAAGTAATATCTGTAAGGAACTAGAAATAAGCAAGGACAATGGGCTTCTCAGATGTGTAAAGATTTCGAATGGACACTGAATTCTTGCTCCTTGAAACATTCATTCATTCAAAAAAATTATTTAATTTCTGCTGAACTCTAAGCAGTACAACAGACTCTAGGGATACAATAGGGAACAAGATAAACAAGATCATTGCAGCTGTGTAGTTTATATTCTAATCGAAGAAAGACAACAAAACAAGTAAACAAATGAACATGATAATTTCGGATAGTGCTAAGTGCAATGAAAAAAACAAAACAAAACCATGTGGCAGGGAGAAAATAGTGGGGACTACCTTACACTGGATATTGAAGGATTCTGTTAGATATTCAGAGATACTTTGAGAGTAAATCAAGGTATAATTAGAAGCTGTGTGGTAGAAGAATAACTATGGAGTCAGTAGAACTGTGTTAGGATCCCAAATTAGGCATTTACTAATTAATTGTGTTTCCTTCAATGACTAAGTTAGCATCTTGTATTTCAGTTTCCTTGTTTATAAAAAAAAGTGATACTCATAATACCCACCCTATGGAATTATGGGAATTGAATGACATAAGGTATTGAAAGCATTTAGCATCACTCTTGACACATACTAAGATCCTTATAAAAATTGACTGTTATTATTAACATTATATGGAACAATGAAAAATGTATCTTTTTGGCCTCAGTACCAAGAAAACTTGTATTTCTCCTAAGCCATTGGTTGGCTGGTGATTATACTTTTAAATGCAGAGAATCATGATTATTTTATTTCCTTTGACTGCTAAAAAGCTGAGGGCCAAAATTGTGGTTTACGTCTAACAAATACAGAGACCTTTACTGAATGCCTAATTTATTTTGTGAACTAACCTCATTCTTGGCTGGATGTTTTCTTCACTCATTTTTCCTCTAATTTAATTTTTTTATTTCCTTACTTTTTATTCAATTATATTTTGTATTATGCGTGTTTTTGCAAGCTGCCCCAAATCTTTTCTGTAACATATTCTGTCTAAACAGTCACTACGCCAAAATAGCAATCAGTGTGGACAAGTTGAGTCTGAATACTACACAGCAAGAACTCCCCTTACAGGGAGAAATTGTTTATCCATTGAGCATGAAAAAAAGAAACTATATTTCTTAAGATAGAATTACAATATACATAATGTTCTGTTTGGCTCATTGCTCAGCAAGCCCCAACATCAGTCCAATCTTAATGTTGGGGACCAATTCTCCTTCCTAATGTGAGCAGCTTGAGGCAGTGGTAACAGAATGGTTTTGGAAGTAGACATGACGGGTTCATGTGCTTGTTCTACTATAGACTGCCTTTGAGATCGTGGGAAAAATCAATGAACATTTCTGAGTCTTTGTTTCTTCTTTTTTTTTTTTTTACAATAGGATCTGTAAATTTCTATTCTTCAAATTGTTTATCAACATTAAAAATAAACAAGGAGGGAGGTAACTACAAAAGGATACCTTGCTTTGCAATATAATGTGCCATCAGTTGGTTTTACATATCGTTTTTTTCTTTTTAATTATACTTAAAGTTCTAGGGTACATGTGTGCAATGTGCAGGTTTGTTACATATGTATACATGTGCCATGTTGGTGTGCTGCACACATTAACTAGTCATTTACATTGGGTATATCTCCCAATGCTTTCCCTTCCCCCTCCCCACACCCCACAACAGGCCCTGGTGTGTGATGTTCCCCTTCCTGTGTCCAAGTGTTCTCATTGTTCAATTCCCACCTATGAGTGAGAACATGTGGTGTTTGGTTTTTTGTTCTTTCAATAGGTTGCTGAGAATGATGGTTTCCAGCTTCATCCATGTCCCTACAAAGGACATGAACTCATCCTTTTTTATGGCTGCATAGTATTCCATGTTGTATTATGTGCCATATTTTCTTAATCCAGTCTATGATTGATGGACATTTGGGTTGGTTCCAAGTCTTTGCTATTGTGAATAGTGCTGCAATAAACATACGTGTGCATGTGCCTTTATAGCAGCTTGACTTATAATCCTTTGGGTATATACCCAGTAATGGGATGGCTGGGTCAAATGGTATTTCTAGTTCTAGATCCTTGAGGAATCGCCACACTGTCTTCCACAGTGGTTGAACTAGTTTACAGTCCCACCAACAGTGTAAAAGTGTTCCTATTTCTCCACATCCTCTCCAGCACCTGCTGTTTCGTGACTTTTTAATGATCACCATTCTAACTGGTGTGAGATGGTATCTCATTGTGGTTTTGATTTGCATTTCTCTGATGGCCAGTGATGATGAGCATTTTTTCATGTGTCTTTTCGCTGCATAAATGTCTTCTTTTGAGAAGTGTCTGTTCATATCCTTTGCCCCCTTTTTGATGGGGTTGTTTGTTTTTTTCTTGTAAATTTGTTTGAGTTCATTGTAGATTCTGGATATTAGCCCTTTGTCAGGTGAGCAGCTTGCAAAAGTTTTCTCCCATTCTGAAGGTTGCCTGTTCACTCTGATGGTAGTTTCTTTTGCTGTGCAGAAGCTCTTTAGTTTAATTAGATCCCATTTGTCAATTTTGGCTTTTGTTGCCATTGCTTTTGGTGTTTTAGTCATGAAGTCCTTGCTCATGCCTATGTCGTGAATGGTATTGCCTAGGTTTTCGTCTAGGGTTTTTATGGTTTTAGGTCTAACATGTAAGTCTTTAATCCATCTTGAATTAATTTTTGTATAAGGTGTAAGGAAGGGATCGAGTTTCAGCTTTCTACATATGGCTAGCCAGTTTTCCCAGCACCATTTGTTAAATAGGGAATCCTTTCCCCATTGCTTGTTTTTCTCAGGTTTGTCAAAGATCAGATAGTTGTAGATATGCAGCATTATTTCTTAGGGCTGTGTTCTGTTCCATTGATCTATATCTCTGTTTTGGTACCAGTACCATGCTGTTTTGGTTACTGTAGCCTTGTAGTATAGTTTGAAGTCAGGTAGTGTGATGCCTCCAGCTTTGTTCTTTTGGCTTAGGATGGACTTGGCAATGCAGGCTCTTTTTTGGTTCCATATGAACTTTGAAGTAGTTTTTTTCCAATTCTGTGAAGAAAGTCATTGGTAGCTTGATGGGGATGGCATTGAATCTATAAATTACCTTGGGCAGTATGGCCATTTTCACCATATTGATTCTTCCTACCCGTGAGCATGGAATGTTCTTCCATTTGTTTGTATCCTCTTTTATTTCATTCAGCAGTGGTTTGTAGTTCCTTCACATCCCTTGTAAGTTGGATTCCTAGGTATTTTATTCTCTTTGAAGCAATTGTGAATGGGCATGTTAATGGTAATTGTAATACCTGACCTGGATACCTCATTTGATTCTTTCTGGCATCAGTAAATGTGTTCTGTAAAGCACATTGAATTGTAATTATGTCAGTTATCATGGTTCTGGTATTGGTAGTGGGGATGACCATGATGATAATTGACAGGGTTTTCATTCTGTTGCTGATCTACTCTGATTTTGGAGTAAATCTTAGAAGTGTAATGGGCTTCTTGCCTTGGACAAATTTAGGAGGTACCCTTCACACTTCAGTTTAAGTAAATGGCATTCCCTGGAGCTGTGCATCACACAGCCTACACAGCCACATGTGCTGGCCTGACCGAAGCCCTACTTACATTCCATTTCTAGTTACCTCATCTTCCCTGCCTGAGTGTCTGCTTTGTTGAGCCAACTGGCACGTCAGTTCCTCTGAGACTGGAAAGCTGGCTGCTTACTAGTTTTGACTTTGAACTTTGGATCTCACAGCCAGCCCACTTCTACCTGGTGATAGCTTTTCATGTCACCGTGGTCCACCCTTCTTGTGAGACACCCAACTGCTACTCTTATCTCCTGAGAGCCCAAACATCTTTTCCATCAGCCAGAATGTGCTACCCAACACTTGCCATATGTTCACCTCTTATCACCTACTTCTAGATCTGACTCATTCATTTCACCTAAATTTTTTTTGAATTAAATAATGTAGCGATTTTCCTTTGAGTTCTTAACATTAGCTATATTATCAGCAACTTCTGTTAGAAAGAAGACTATTTTTTAAAAAAGATGTTATTAATCCAAATGCAAAATAACTCCCAATTTATTAGGGAAGATCAAGTAATAAAGATGCCATACAATTAAACACACACTCTAGGTAATTGAAGCTTACACTCATGTAGGGATGTAAATCTTTTTAATTTATATTTCCTTTAAATACATACATAAATTTGTATTGTTCTGAAAATTGGGTCATACTTACTCTGCAAGTGGCTTTTCTTAATATGTCATAGGTATAACTCAGTCTTTAGATATAAAGTCAAATTATTTCTTCTAAATAGCTGCATAATTTTCACGTTTGTATATACACTACTTTCTGAAACTATTCTTCTGAGTCAATGTACATCTATTTCATTTACAGAGTTCATTCTTTGTGTATGTGTTTTATGTTTGCCACACAAAATTGCTATGATAATCATCTTTTATAGAAATCTTTGGAGAAAGAGGAACATGTCTATGTATGTGTATAAATGATACATATTTATGTATATATTATATATACTACATGTTTCCTTTTACATTTACATATATATGTCCTTTTCCATTGACTTCCTTTTCCATTTACATATATATGTCAATTGGATAGATTTTCAAAAGAAAGATTTTTTAGCCCAAGAGTATTTTAATTAATAAATTACCAAATTATTATTTTTTGAAAAGTTGTAGCAATTTATCTTCCCACCAGCAATGTGCATAAAGGTGCCTGATGTACTCATAGTCTTACCAGGAGTAGTTCATTGTTGTTCTTTTTAATTTTTGCTGACCAGGGAGGTGAAAACTGTACCTCATTACTGCTTTCCTTTGCATCTCCCTGACTATGGAAAAGGACAACATCTTTCATGTGTATCAGTTACTTGGAATTCCTCTCATGCAAATTGTTTAATCTTATCTGGTATATTGGGTTATCTCTTTCTCAACAGTTTGTAGCTGCTCTTTGTTTATTGGAACATAATCCATTTGTCTGCCATATGGGTTACAGATATTTCTTCCTACATAATCACTTCCCTTTTTTCTGTGTCTTTTTTTAAAAATTGTTTTGTGTTCAAACATTTTTGTCTCTTTCAAAAAACTACCTTTTGTGACCCTGTCTTTTTTTTTTTTTCTACTTAGCAATAAATCCCAGTCATTCTTACAAGGCGGATTTAACTTATTTATAATTCCCTGGTTTCTTTATATGTAGATAAACTTCTGCATGTATACTTCTACATAGGTAAGAAATCATTGATTTCATTTTTGTTGCAGCCATTTTTGTTTGACATTTTATTGGCTTCCTTCCCCTCTTCTCCATTCTTTTACCCACTTCATTGTCTTCTATTGAACCTCCGTATCTCCTGGTCCATCATGCTAAGAACCCAATATGTATATGTATTCTTCCATTTATTTTCTTCATGTTTAAATAATCATACACTCATACATGCACAATCACACAAAAATATGTACATTTATACCTACACATATCCATATAGAAATTGTGTTGTTTTGTATTCTACAAACGTGGTCTAATATTATAGACACTTCTCTGCTTTATTTTTCCTTTCTGTCTCAGTAATATCCAGGGAAAACTTTCCTACTCAATGGTCATGATTCATGATTCTAACTGATTCTTTTTAATGGTGCATATTACTTCATGGTATGGTTATACCATAAGTTATTCAACCATTCCTCTATGAATGATAATTCACATTGTTAATACCTTTATTTTTGGCCATATGAATAATGTTATAAAAAGATCTTTGTACATTTGCTGCTACGTGCTAGTGCTTTTATTTCTGTGGAACAGATTCCCAAACGTGAGGTTGCTATTTTTTTTTTTTTTTTTTTTTTGAGATGGAGTCTCACTCTGTCACTGGGCTGGAGTGCAGTGGCCCGATCTCCGCTAACTGCAACCTCCTCCTCCTGGGTTCAAGCGATTCCCCTGCCTCAGGCTCTGGAGCAGCTGGTACTATAGGTGCACGCCACCACGCCCAGCTAATTTTTGTATTTTTAGTGGAGACAGGGTTTCACCATGTTGGCCAGGATGGTCTCAATCTCTTGACCTCGTGATCCACCCACCTTGGCCTCCCAAAGTGCTGGGATTACAGGCGTGAGCCACCGTGCCTGGCCGAGGTTGCTTTTTAACAAAAGTTATATGTAACTGAATTGTTTCCCGAAAGATAATGACAATTTGCATTTCCACCAATAATTTCTGGAGTATCCACCATTCATCCCTACCAGAATCACTCTTTGTTTTTGTGACTGAAAGGCATAAATTTATATCTCATTATTATTCTAGTTTCTCAAAGAAGTTACCAAAAATAACTTGCCCTTTCTGTACAACTCCAGATCATTCATCATTCTTTACTGCATCGTGCAGTCTGTTAGCTTTGTGAGTTTCCTGACTCTCTCTGAATATCTTGGTCGCCACCTGTGCCTGACTCCAGTGGTCTCCTTGCCCATGCCACCACTCTACTTATTTGGTTGTCTCTGATATGTTTGAAAAGTTTGGGCATTAAAATCAGGGGACTTTTTTTGTTCAAAATATTTAAACATCAGTCAATAAGACTCTTACTGAAGAGTAAAAGTATGGGCCCAAAGAGTACTGTTTATGATTTTAGCTTGATATTTTAATAATCATTCAGTTCTTAAAGAAAAGTTGCCTTCCAGAAAAGTATCTTAGTTAATAAAGGACAGTTAAAAGGCTTGAGTTCTGCTCCTTAAAGCTGTTGAATACCACTTTCAGTCTAATTAGGGTATTAGTAGCCTCAGAACCCACTTAGCACATAGCAGGAAAACTTTTTAACCTAAAATCATCAGCTTAGAATAGAGTGGCTATCTCCATTATGACATCCTGACAAATTCTATAATGCTGTATGTTTACACTTACCCACATACTGCTATCACAACACTCACATTCACAAACACTCTGATTTTTAGAGTGTCCCAAACACTGCCATGTGGAAACATGTATTTTCTCTTACCCACCCCCCACCACTCCCCGACATTGTCCCTGGTATATTCTCATGATAAAATTGCAGCCTAGACATATGACTTCAGGAAAAGATAATAAAGATATCACACAGAAGGAAAAGTAACACATGGTAAGTGTGGTCCTGTACATCCAGCACTCTCCCAGGGAAGCTAGTCTTCATCAGAGGATTCCACATATTTTTGTTCCATAGATTCATCCACAGTGAGAAAATCCCTCAGTTCTCTTAAAGACGTTGCATTGTTCATTTCAATTCCTTTTACTTTTATTGTAGACTCAACAAAGCTGACTTCTGTTTAGAGATGGGCATCTCATCCAGCTTGACTTCAGGGTGAAAATGCAACAATAAAAAGGATTTTAAGAATTCTGGTTCCTCTGCAATTGTTTCTCAGTGTAAATAAAATCCCTAGGCACCTTCATTTCCCAGGCATTTTGACTGGCATAAGTTGCTCTCTCAGGGTTCCATCACCCTGGGCACTGACAAGAGGGAGTGAGTCTCAAGGCTCAGTTCCACATCATGGAGAGCTGGCAGCCTGATCATTTTGCTCCACTGTGAAGTCTTGATCATTTCAGTCACTTGATCTCCAAATTTATAAACTACTCATAGGCGTAGGAGTCTTACCTACCACCTGTCCAACTCACTTATTTTGTGGATAGCCCCAAGAAATATGAGATGGCTTGTTTGAGACAGGAAGCTCATCAGAGACAAAAAGAACCTTGAACTGGATCATCTGAATTCATTTTTTTCTCATAAAAATCAGGATATTAATATCAGTTCTGTTTCCCTCACAAGGATTTTAGTAATGATCAAATAAATTAAAACACTTTGAAATATTTATATTATGCACAAATGCCAGATATCATAAAATTGTTTTAAAGTTCATTGTTATATTTCTTCTAGTAGGAACATCAGACATCACTGGATGGATTACAACAGCCATCATTTACTGAGTTACTGTCTATGAATAGGCTCTCTAACAAAGTCATCTCATTTAAGATTGTCATTGTCACACATTTACCCTTGCCCTGAAAAGGCAAAATGGTTGACTTGGTGGATTGTTTTTTTTTTTTTTTTTTTTTTTTTTGAGACAGAGTCTCACTCTGTCGCCCAGATTGGAGTGCAGTGGTGCGATCTTGGCTCATGCAAGCTCTGCCTCCTGGGTTCATGCCATTCTCCCGCCTCAGCCTCCCGAGTAGCTGGGACTACAGGCACCCGCCACCACGCCTGGCTAATTTTTTTGTATTTTTAGTAGAGACGGGGTTTCATCATGTTAGCCAGGATGGTCTCGATCTCCTGACCTCATGATCCGCCTGCCTCGGCCTCCCAAAGTGCTGGGATTACAGGTGTGAGCCACCGCAAGCGGCTGACTTGGTGGATTCTGTAAACAAGCAGGAGGATGTTTCTGCTATCTTTCCTTTGAAAAACATTTAATATGGGCAATATATTGTATGCAAGGCCTCAAACTCAGGAAGACCATTTCCAGTGTCCACATGCTCAATAACCCTGGTTCCTAAAGCCTACTTCATGTGCCATTATGTGATCTTCTATAGAAATACAAGTAATTTTACAAGCATGAAATAAAAGTTATATCTAAATGTAATTTCTGTTTACATTTTTAGATGGCCTTTTACAGAATGAACTTTAGAAAAAAAAACTAAATGTGGCTACAATCAAATCTGTTTATGAAAATCACGTCTATTTTATAAGAAAAAAATAGAGCTAAGAAATAAGATTACTAAATTTATTTGTTGTTTGGTGTTCAGACAAATGTTTGTTTTTACAAGAACAGGCTCAAGAGAGCCACTCTGAAGGCCAGTGTTGTTACTTCTCCAAACTCTTCTAGCTGTCTTCACTCATCATTATTATAATCTTTATGGGAATGAGGCCAAGGTGTGACCTGAGGTGATAAGAGTTTCCCTGCTCAAAAATATATACTCAAGCAGTTTGTCACAGCCTAAAATTTCACTATCAGAGAACAATTTACTCTAACAGGAACATTTAATTTCTAGGATATCAGAGATGATTAAAGTCTTTAATTTTACTCTTAACTGACAAATAATAACCATATATATTTCTGGAGTATCATGTGATGGTATATCTCTGTATACATTGTAGAACTTGATGTTTACCATACTCAAGTACTGAGACAGTCCCCATATAATTTTTCTAAATATTGCCAACAAAGTATTCATTTCTACAGCATGCTTTATTGATACTGAAATTAGAATGTATATTGCTATACCAGGGAAACTGTAGATTCCTACCCTTGTCCTAAGGGAATGAATGAGCCTTCAGATACATAATTTTGCCCATGGAGAGAAAGAATGATCTAGGTTTGGAATAGCCTCTAAGAGCAAAGTCAGGCCAGGTGCGAGGGGAGATGTGAGCAGTCAGAGTGCAAAGCGCAGGGCATGCACACCTAAGATGTAGGAGTGGGAGCAAGGGTGATTTGTGGAATGAGCAGCTCTGAAGACAAACTTCTCCTAATCCTATGTATCCCTCAGGCTGAGTTTGCTGCTATTGAAGTTTTTGGCCAAGTACCCATTTGCCAGAGGGGCTACACATCACAGCCTATCAGCTAAAGTTAGCCCACAGAGAGTCTGTTAGTCTGTGATGTTTGAATGGAATTGAAGGGGAGCACCCTCAAGCAGAGCCTACAACCCAATTTGCCACAAGCCTTAACACTGGTAGATCCCTCTCCGTTACTCATTGGCCTTCCTTCCTGGCTCCTGAGATCATTTGAGTTTGTGATGCTGGTTTTGGATTTCAAAGTTCAGTGAACCTCTATTTCCCAAGTGTTGGTTATATTTTTAGTCTACTCTAAAATGTGTTTGTGCCCATTGCCTGTTTTATTCAAGAACAAGTCTGTGAATTCATGTTGCTTTACATATTCTCTGCTCATGTTGCTTTACATATTGCACAGTATTAATTAATGCAATAATACTGTGGAAATCTTGGTCAAAATGTTACTGTGCATCTTTGCAGAGCCTGAAGACTGCTGAATGCCACAAGCACACAGTCTGAAGCTGCTACAATTGAACTCTTCTTTAACAAGCATCAGCAACACAGTGTACATATTGGACATGATAGTTGTCAGGATGACTTAGGATGGTTAACTTTTTGAGAAGCCTCTCATTCTTTTGACATTCCAGTGACAGGAGGTTTTATTGTAAGTCTAACGTTTTAACAGTGCCGGAAGCATATGTTCATTCACTGTCTTTGGGAGATTAGGACATTGAAATGAGATGTAAAGATTTTTGTTGTCATTCCCATTGAGCGCTAATTTGCTGAGAATAGGGAGCAAAACTTAATCTTGTGATAATAGCAAATCTGCAGAATAAAGAGTAGCAGTAGGGAATAACAAATCAATTTCTTCCATTTATAGGGTTCCTATATTCACAAAGCACTATGGTAGAGGTTTTTCATTCTACTGTCTCATAACTCTGTGTGATATTATTATTCCCATTTTGCAGATAATGACATTGAGGCTCAGGTAGGCCGTCACTCAAAGTATCTCATTTATTTTAAAGATGATGTTCTTTCCATCATGTTGCTCTGCATCCCCTTTCATCTGTGGGCTTTGGAAATGGTCTGATCAGAACTGGAGATGATTGATGGCTACTGTCCTGGGCTCCCAGCAGAATAATTGTTTATGTAGAGAAGGCTGAGGGCCTTCTAATAGACAGTAGTTTCCTTCAGGGTCAAGGAGCTCTTAAATTCATGGCATGGGTCCGGTGAAAATGTTTCCTCTTTGACTCTCCCCTCCCACAGCCTTCTCTCTGACCAGAAGAGGTTGTCCAACTCTTTGTGAACTTCTGTATGGCTGTGTTAGATTCCTATGGCTGCTGTAACATATGACTGCAAACATGGTAGCTTCAAGAATACAAATTTATTATCTTATAGTTCTGGAAGTTACAAGTGCAAAATCACTGTTTTTGGCTAATGTCAAGGTGTCTACAAGGCTAATTCCTTCCGGAGATTCTAGGGGAAAAATTGGTTCCTTGCCTTTTCCACCTTCTATAGACCACCTCATTCCTTGGCTAATGGTCCCCTTATAGCAATGCCCCATCTGACCTCTTCATCAGCCATCATATCTCCTTCTCTCTCTGATTCTGACCCTCCCTCTTGTAAGAACTCCAGTGATTATATTGGGCCTACTAATCCAGGATAATCTCCCATGGCAAGATAGTTAACTTAATCACATCGACAAAGTCCCTTTTACCACATAAAGTAATATTCACAGGTCCCAAGAATTAAAACACAGACCTCTTTGGGGGCCTATTATTCAGTCTACCACAGTTGCTAACCCTGTTGATTTCTCCATGGATAATAGTGTCCCACTTTGGGCAACTCAGGACAGCTCCATCAACTTCTAGGACGCAGCATCTGGAGTTCCCCTCGTGTGAGTCTCCTCAAAGCAAGACTGTGATTGCCAGGTCAATCTGCACTCTTCACTGTCAAACAGGGCTTGCAATTTATAGACCACAAACTGGACCAGACATATTTTGAGTGACCCTCAGTGAGCCTTTTTTCTTAAATTTGGAATTCTATTGTCTAAAAATACATTTTAAGTATTTTTTTTAATTTTATTATTATTATACTTTAAGTTTTAGGGTACAAGTGCACAATGTGCAGGTTTGTTACATATGTATTCATGTGCCATGTTGGTGTGCTGCACCCATTAACTCGTCATTTAGCATTAGGTATATCTCCTAATGCTATCCCTCCCCCCTCCCCCCACCCCACAACAGTCCCCAGAGTGTGATGTTCCCCTTCCTGTGTCCATGTGTTCTCATTGCTCAATTCCCACCTATGAGTGAGAACATGCGGTGTTTGGTTTTTTGTCCTTGTGATAGTTTGCTGAGAATGATGATTTCCAGTTTCATCCATGTCCCTACAAAGGACATGAACTCATCATTTTTTATGGCTGCATAATATTGCATGGTGTATATGTGCCACATTTTCTTAATCCAGTCTATCGTTGGACATTTGGGTTGGTTCCAAGTCTTTGCTATTGTGAATAGTGCTGCAATCAACATACATGTGCATGTGTCTTTATAGCAGCATGATTTATAATCCTTTGGGTATATACCCAGTAATGGGATGGCTGGGTCAAATGGTATTTCTAGTTCTAGATCCCTGAGGAATCGCCACACTGACTTCCACAAGGGTTGAACTAGTTTACAGTCCCACCAACAGTGTAAAAGTGTTCCCATTTCTCCACATCCTCTCCAGCACCTGTTGTTTCCTGACTTTTTAATGATTGCCATTCTAACTGGTGTGAGATGGTATCTCATTGTGGTTTTGATTTGCATTTCTCTGATGGCCAGTGATGATGAGCATTTTTTCATGTGTCTTTTCGCTGCATAAATGTCTTCTTTTCAGAAGTGTCTGTTCATATCCTTTCCCACTTTTTGATGGGGTTGTTTTTTTTTTTCTTGTAAATTTGTTTGAGTTCATTGTAGATTCTGGATATTAGCCCTTTGTCAGATGAGTAGGTTGCGAAAATTTTTTCCCATTTTGTAGGTTGCCTGCTCACTCTGATGGTAGTTTCTTTTGCTGTGCAGAAGCTCTTTAGTTTAATTAGATCCCATTTGTCAATTTTGTCTTTTATTGCCATTGCTTTTTGTGTTTTGGACATGAAGTCCTTGCTCATGCCTATGTCGTGAATGGTATTGCCTAGGTTTTCGTCTAGGGTTTTTATGGTTTTAGGTCTAACATGTAAGTCTTTAATCCATCTTGAATTAATTTTTGTATAAGGTGTAAGGAAGGGATCGAGTTTCAGCTTTCTACATATGGCTAGCCAGTTTTCCCAGCACCATTTGTTAAATAGGGAATCCTTTCCCCATTGCTTGTTTTTGTCAGGTTTGTCAAAGATCAGATGGTTGTAGATATGCGGCATTATTTCTGAGGGCTCTGTTCTGTTCCATTGATCTGTATCTCTGTTTTGGTACCAGTACAATGCTGTTTTGGTTACTGTAGCCTTGTAGTATAGTTTGAAGTCAGGTAGCGTGATGCCTCTAGTTTTGTTCTTCTGGCTTAGGATTGACTTGGTGATGTGGGCTCTTTTTTGGTTCCATATGAAGTTTAAAGTAGTTTTTTCCAATTCTGTGAAGAAAGTCATTGGTAGCTTGATGGGGATGGCATTGAATCTATAAATTACCTTGGGCAGTATGGCCATTTTCACGATATTGATTCTTCCTACCCATGAGCATGGAATGTTCTTCCATTTGTTTGTATCCTCTTTTATTTCATTGAGCAGTGGTTTGTAGTTCTCCTTGAAGAGGTCCTTCACATCCCTTGTAAGTTGGATTCCTAGGTATTTTATTCTCTTTGAAGCAATTGTGAATGGGAGTTCACTCGTGATTTGGCTCTCTGTCTGTTATTGGTGTATAAGAATGCTTGTGATTTTTGTACATTGATTTTGTATCCTGAGACTTTGCTGAAGTTGCTTATCAGCTTAAGGAGATTTTGGGCTGAGACAATGGGGTTTTCTAGATATACAATCATGTCATCTACAAACAGGGACAATTTGACTTCCTCTTTTCCTGATTGAATACCCTTTATTTCCTTCTCCTGCCTAATTGCCCTGGCCAGAACTTCCAACACTATGTTGAATAGGAGTGGTGAGAGAGGGCATCCCTGTCTTGTGCCAGTTTTCAAAGGGAATGCTTCCAGTTTTTGCCCATTCAGTATGATATTGGCTGTGGGTTTGTCATAGATAGCTCTTATTATTTTGAGATACGTCCTACCAATACCTAATTTATTGAGAGTTTTTAGCATGAAGGGTTGCTGAATTTTGAATTTTGTCAAAGGCCTTTTCTGCATCTATTGAGATCATCATGCGGTTTTTGTCTTTGGTTCTGTTTATATGCTGTATTACATCTATTGATTTGCATGTGTTGAACCAGCCTTGCATCCCAGGGATGAAGCCCACTTGATCATGGTGGATAAGCTTTTTGATGTGCTGCTGGATTCGTTTTGCCAGTATTTTATTGAGGATTTTTGCATCAATGTTCATCAAGGATATTGGTCTAAAATTCTCTTTTTTGGTTGTGTCTCTGCCAGGCATTGGTATCAGGATGATGCTGGCCTCATAAAATGAGTTAGGGAGGATTCCCTCTTTTTCTATTGATTGGAATAGTTTCAGAAGGAATGGTACCAGTTCCTCCTTGTACCTTTGGTAGAATTCGGCTGTGAATCCATCTGGTCCTGGACTTTTTTTGGTTGGTAAGCTATTGATTATTGCCACAATTTCAGAGCCTGTTATTGGTCTATTCAGGGATTCAACTTCTTCCTGGTTTAGTCTTGGGAGGGTGTATGTGTCGAGGAATTTATCCATTTCTTCTAGATTTTCTAGTTTATTTGCATAGAGGTGTTTGTAGTATTCTCTGATGGTAGTTTGTATTTCTGTGGGATCGGTGGTGATATCCCCTTTATCATTTTTTATTGCATCTATTTGATTCTTCTCTCTTTTCTTTATTAGTCTTGCTAGCGGTCTATCGATTTTGTTGATCCTTTCACAAAACCACCTCCTGGATTCATTAATTTTTTGAAGGGTTTTTTGTGTCTCTATTTCCTTCAGTTCTGCTCTGATTTTAGTTATTTCTTGCCTTCTGCTAGCTTTTGAATGTGTTTGCTGTTGCTTTTCTAGTTCTTTTAATTGTGATGTTAGGGTGTCAATTTTGGATCTTTCCTGCTTTCTCTTGTGGGCATTTAGTGCTATAAATTTCCCTCTACACACTGCTTTGAATGTGTCCCAGAGATTCTGGTATGTTGTGTCTTTGTTCTCATTGGTTTCAAAGAACATCTTTATTTCTGCCTTCATTTCGTTATCTACCCAGTATTTCTTTAAAAAATTAAGAGATCTGGTATAACAGTGTCTTGTTTTGAGGTGGTTGCGTCATGGCTTCTCTCTTTAGACAGAATACGTGCTCTCTCAATCACCTTAGATCTTGCCATATTATATCTGGTATGTTCTACTCATTTGTTTGAACTGCTTGGACCCTGTATTAAGTATCTGAGTTTACAACAGTGATTCTAAAACAAAGCATTAACATACATCTTAGAGGACATTTGTTCAGATAATTTTGTCAGGGACTGTAACTTCATATATATTAGAAAACTTTGAGTTAATCCACATGGGTTCAGACGAAGCAGAGGATGAGCGTTATCATTCAGTATCATCCTAAGATTTGTAGGTTAGCTGGATCTTCCCTTTGGATATTTCTTTTTTCTGCCTGACTCTCTCAGCCTTTAATCCACCAACACCTAGGCGAGGCATTTCTCATCATCATTTTAGTATCCCTTCCGTTTCACTGGAGGAAAATTTTCCACCTGTCCTCTGTCATTTGGAAGGTGACCATCCTTTCCTCTTCCCAATCTGTCTCGTAAGTATATCAGTTCCTTAATGTTTAGGATCTGCTTTATTTCAAATAAAGACTTTCTTCATCTGTATTAGTCTGTTTGCATGCTGCTGATAAAGATACACCTGAGACTGGGTAATTTATAAAGAAAAAGAGGTCTAATGGACTCACAGTTCCACGTAGCTGGGGAGGCCTCACGATCATTCTCAGAAGGCAAAAGGCACGTCTTACATGGCGACAGGCAAGAGAGAAATGAGGGCCAAACAAAAGGAGAAACCCGTTATAAAATCATCAGATCTCGGTCGGGCACAATGGCTCATGCCTGTAATCCCAGCACTTTGGGAGGCCAAGGCGGGCGGATCACAAGGTCAGGAGTTCGAGACCAGCCTGACCAACATGGTAAAACCCCGTCTGTACTAAAAATACAAAAAAAATTAGCCAGGTGTGGTGACGCACGCCTGTAATCCCAGCTACTCAGGAGGCTAAGGCAGGAGAATCACTTGAACCCGGGAAGTGGAGGTTGCAGTGAGTGGAGATCCCACCACTGTACTCTAGCCTGAGCAACAGAGTGAGAGCTCCATCTCAAAAACAACAACAGCAACAAAATCATCGGATCTTGTGAGACTTATTCACTACCATGGGAACAGTATGAGGGAAACTGCATCTATGATTCAATTCTCTCTCACCAGGTCCCTCCCACAACACATGGTAATTATGGGAGCTACAATTCAAGATGAGATTTTGGTGGGGACACAGCCAAACCATATCGTCATCTTTATGTCCAGTCTCAGAGAGTGACTGGCACATAATGGAATATTAACAAATATGTGTTGAATGAATGAACTCTGATAGTGATGATGGTATTTATAATGATAGCTTACATTTATGAGAACTTAATTATGCATATTTGCTTGAAGTAACAATAGCAGTCATGATGGAGACAAATTCATTGTGAGTGCCTGCCTCCCACAGGCCCTGGAAAATCAACCCTATTGATCATGTGACCCTCTCTTCTGACCACAGATTAGGGGACCACAGAAGATTCCTAAGCCAAGGACTCCCTATCTTTGGCTGACCAGAAACCTATGGCATGGCCTGTTGCAAAGAGCATTCCCAAGAAATAAGCTTAGCATTTCAGAGCTTTTCCCTTTTCATAACCCAAACCAAGAGACAACAAAGTGGAGGATGCTTGGTCAAATGGGTCATGCTAGGGATTAGGGACTGGTTGCCAGTCTGGTCATGCACAAAAGGAATATGCACAACTAATGCAGTCACTGGGAGATAGAAGAGAATTTCATTTTCTGATTTTGCAGCTTCCAGATACAATATACGTGAGTCTTGGCTGTCTTTGGATGTCTACAAAATTACCCTTTTGTATCTTTACAACTTTCCTCTTCTGCCTTATCTCAGCGAGGCTATCTGTTCTTTATAATTAAAACACTTGCCTGGAACATTGCCTTAACCCAGGATCCTAGCATGGCAGTGGAATTTACTAAAGGAGGGATTGTGGAGTAGTAGCATTGCCAGAGTCAAGATCACAGGCAACCAAGAGTTTCGCTTTGGGCACTACAACTCCCAGAGAGTTGTTCTGAACAGAATGGAGATTCAACAGTTTAAAGTACTGGACATTTTCTAAGATGTGAGTGTTCCTGAATCCTTAAATTCTGAACACAAAAACAGTGATGAAAATACCCAAGAAATATTTCACCCTGTTATGAAGCAAGATGAAACAATAGATAATTGGTTCATTAGAATCTTTGGACTAAAAAGGATGTCAGTTAAACAAAAAAAACTATTAAAATTTAATTGACCATTTTAGGAATCAGCTTGCTAAATTTAAAAAGATGACATACTTATATTTATAATATGCTTCCTAGAATGGTTACCTTCAAAGTAGGTATAATCTGTATAAAATAACCCCAGCATTAATTTTTCACAAATTAAAAAGCATGCTAGGCAATTAAAGCAGAATAATAGATGTAACATTACATAAAAGTAGGACAGTCATGCATCATTTATGACTTCCTTGCTCATCAGGACTTGGCTTTTTGAATCTTAATTGCAAACTGGTGTGAATAGATTGTTGAAAAAAGTAAATTGGTTATTCTGATAGCACACAACTTGCATTAGGGAGATAATTAATTTTAGGAGGCTGATATCCTGGTATATTAAGCATAGTTATATAGTCATGTTTAGTCAAGAGACTTTAATTATAGTCTTCTTCTGGTCAGTGCACATTGTTTATATTTTGTTTGTAATTTGATCAATGCTAGTTAGATACAATGTAAGTTATTACGTATTATAAGTGTCTGTAAAAGCAAAGAGTAGGGTTAGACCTCTAGTAGAGAATAGGGCAATTGGTTGATTAAAAGACATATTCTACTACAGCCTTGACACTAGTCCACCTGTTCCTCCATCCAGTTTCCTTCTTCCTTTTATGCTTTCTTATCTGTCAATTGCTATGGTAAACTTGGACATGCTTTAGATTCCAAATGAGAGGCTATTATAAAACATAAGTTGATTGATCTTTTCTTTCTTTTTTGAAAAATTAAGAAACAGGTGGAATGGCTGGTGTACTTCTTTTTTGTTCTGGAATTATTGATTTAATTTCTTTAATTTTTACCCTTTGAATTTTCTAACCACCTTAGTTCCCTTTTTTTTATTTTATTATTATTATACTTTAAGTTTTAGGGTACATGTGCACAATGTGCAGGTTAGTTACATATGTATACATGTGCCATGCTGGTGTGCTGCACCCATTAACACGTCATTTAGCATTAGGTACATCTCCTAAAGCTATCCCTCCCCCCTCCCCCCACCCCACAACAGTCCCCAGAGTGTGATGTTCCCCTTCCTGTGTCCATGTGTTCTCATTGTTCAATTCCCACCTATGAGTGAGAATATGCGGTGTTTGGTTTTTTGTTCTTGTGATAGTTTACTGAGAATGATGATTTCCAACTTCATCCATGTCCCTACAAAGGACATGAACTCATCATTTTTTATGGCTGCATAATATTCCATGGTGTATATGTGCCACATTTTCTTTAATAAAAATAATTAAGTCTAGCAATCGTTGACCACTTAACTACACTAATTATACTACAACTCTGTAGAAAAGGTACCCTTATCTTCATGGTATATATGAGGAAACTGAGACTCAAGTAGGTTACCCATAGGTAACTTATCCAGGGCTGCAGAGCTGAAGCTGGAATTTAACCTGGTGGAGACATAGCTTTCAGTAGGCCTTGGAGAATTTGCTCAAACTCTCCTAATTTTTTGCACACTGCTTCACTTTTTCCTGGGAACTATGAACAACTACCTTACTTTCTCTACTACTAATCATGGACTTTGTTAAACTGGCTGTGCTTTGGTGTGGGAAAGGTCTGGTCATGAGCAATTCTGATATATTTACCTTGTGCCCTCACTCTCTGACCAGATGTCACTCTGTTTAAAATTCTTCCTTAAAAGAGCATGACCATCTGAGCATTTGCTCCATTTCTGAACTCAAGTTTACAGTCTGGTTTTGAAATCCAAACTGTACCCTTTAAGAACTAGATTAGGAAGGTAGTAGCCAATTAAGGCCACCTGTTTGTATCCACAGTGTTGTGCTTGGATGAATCCTCATATAAAGAAAGAGATTGATGGCCCTTTAACAATATCATAACTCCCTTAGACAGATGACTGTAATTTGGTATGAGGAGAATGGGTATATCTGCTTACCCGGCCCCAGGACTAAACAAAGGTCTCTGTGATCCAACTGTGTTCACTGCAGCCTAGAACACAGCCCCAACTGCGATCAATCCCAGTCATTCCATAAGGCTTTGGGAAATTTGCATGGATGCCATTGGAATTAAATCTCCATAAGGATATTTGGAACAGAAAAGCCCATCCTTCTTACGCTTTTATAAATTTTACAATCCGACTGATGACTTCTACAAAAGTTTATCCTATTTTTCATATGCCAGGCAGTTCTCAAACTCAACTTTACAGCCACCATAACAAAAGCGTTTGGGGATTTGAAAAATACTTACCAATTCTAGGAATGGGAAAGACCACATGTGAAACTAATTTTACAGAAACCCATGGCAAGGAAATGATTTAACCATTACATTAACAGATGCCCTCAGAGACTGTGCTATGAGATACTCTGTCTTTCTCCTTAGCTGGAATCTTCTCCCCATGTGAGCATCCCACCTCTCATTCCCTGCTAGGCCAAGAGGACTTTCCTCTATGGAGCTTCTTGAACACTGTTAGTTTATATTAGTCTTGCCCTACTCTAATTCTAGTTTGCAGGAGTTCTTCGTTTATTCAACAAATACTTATTGAGCATTTTTACGTTCTAAGCACTACATTAAATTCTAGGAATTCAACACAAACAAAAAATCCCTGCTTTTATTCCAATGGAGGAAGACAGACCATAAACAAATGCATGCATACTATTTCCAGCACTAAGTTCTAGAAAACAATTTAAAATGGCAAAAATAAAAATAAAACAAGCAAGGGAATAGAGAGTTATGTGTAGACCTGGTTTATATAAACTGGTCAAGGAAGAGGCTTCAGTTGTTCATACTGCCTAGCACACATATGACACATAATAGGAATTCAAACATCCAGTACATTAAATATTAAGTAAATGCTTTTTTATCAGATATTTTGTGTCTCAAATACCTTAATATCCTGACTAGTCTATGTTGTATATGTTTTACAGAAGAAGACTGGACCTTACATTTATTTTCAGATCTCTGTAAAACACTACATGGAGCTGGGTCTCAGAATGTTGCTGGTTGATAAATCCAAACCTTATTGTGGGATTTTCACAAGTAAGTGTGAACATACATAAGTAAGGTAGCACATACACATGAAGTACAGGACATGGAGCACCTAGCAAAAGTTTATTTCATACTAATACAGAAGTTTCCACATGTAACTAAGTATCCATACATTAAAGTGAACTTTCTGTCTACCTGTATAATTTCTGAAATGTCCATGGGCCTTTTGGGCTATCCTTAATTGAAAGGCAGTCTGAACTCTCTAGGTTTGATTTGAACTGACTTGGTCTGTATCAAATAATGTCACACAGAATTTCATTTAAGAAAGTATTTCTTAAAGGAGTATGTTCATATGTGCTTGTCATTGTGTTGAAAAACTGAAAATATATTTTACACAAGATGTATGTACTTATGCATTCATTTCCTTAGTTTGACTCTATTAAAAGTGATGTTCACACACAAAATGATATGCTGCCTTGTGGAATCCAAAAGAGATGTATCTGTAGTACTGAAAACTGTCACTGTATCCTTTTGCCAGAAAGTATCCCAGTGTGGATTTTGTGAAAGCGAAGACCTGTGAGCTTTATGAAAGGGAAGAGTTTAAACTTAACCCCTGAGGAGGGGGAAAAAAGCAATGACTTGGAGTGGGTACATAATAAAAAGCTTTTAGGATAAGGAAGAAAAAATAAAGGAGAATTATTTCAATAACAGAAAAGGAAAAAATAAGCTATGAGTTGAGATCAATCAAAATGTTTTTTGAGCACTTGGTTTGTGGTTATCACTGTAATACCTGTTTGGGGAGGGGCAGAAACATATGAGTTATTTTTCCATTAGAATGATAAATTATTTGGGAGAAAAGATTTCCACAGAAGTCCGTGTTTACCCAGTGCCAGGATCTTGGTGTAATGAGTTTTCAGCCTCCCTCTCAGCTGATATATTTGTTGCCTATTTCTTGGAAAACAGTAAAAGACATCACAAAGAAACTCACTCCAATTCCTTTCCTGCTTCTCAAATCTATAAACATCTCTAGATCTGTATATTTCCTTTCCTCCTTCCCCAGAGTGCCAGAGAAATGACTATTCTATTCATTATAAATCTTATACCCTCACTAGCTCCATCAATTACCCCCCTCCCTGAGAATCTTCAACCTTCTTCATTAGCATTTTTCTCTCAGTACATAAACGTGCTTTTATCATAAAACGATGATACAATTAACAACAAACAACTTCTCTTTGGACTCTATGTCAGTAGTTGTCAACCCTGGATACATATTAGAATCACCTGGAGATTGCTGAACAGAAACCTGGAGGCCCAACTCAGATGAAGGGGAATAATATCTTTGAGGGGTGCAGCCCAAGTACTGATATTGTTTAAAGCTACTCTACTGATTCTAACTCACAGCTAGAGTTGACAAACATTGGCATACGTGATTCTATATCTTATTCTCTTCTCCCCTTAACAACCAGTCATTCATCTGTTTATTTCCACTGAATTTTAAAGAATTCACGAAGGCTAATATAGAGTTAAAATCTATTTAGATGTCAGAACTGGCAGAAGTTGGCAACAGATTGGATGTCCTGGTATGAAGAACTGGTGCTTAAGAAACCAATGCTCAAGCCTTTGGTGCCATTTATTTAAATAAGAAATACAAGATCCCTTCCTGTTAGAGCCAATGTAAAAAAAAAAAAAGGGCGAAATGCTAGAAGAAAATCAGATGAAGTTTAGATACATTGTGTTCAAAATGCCTACAAAGCATATCTAGAAGTATAGGCAGTTATCAGGACTCAACCGAATATATAAGCAGTTGCCAGCTAAAACTCATTATGGACTTAGAATGGCACCAATTTAAATATTCTCTCCAGCAACATTGAGTAGCCTTTATAAAGATATGGAGAAGGTAAGCAGTTGGACACTCGGCTTCATCTAGGTGGATGGGATGAAAGGTCATGGGGCAAGGTGCTGAAGATATTGAAAAGAAAATGATTGAAATAATAGAAAATAGAATAATAGATCATGGGAGAGAGTTACTTGAAATGCAGAGAAGAAGAAAATAAGACTATCAAATAGAGGATAAAGTGCCCAAACTCTAATAGGAAACCTGATAGTTTTCTCTCCACAAAAGGCATGATCTTGGGTGGATCAGAATAAAGGGAGGTAGGACCTTCAAGAGAAACATTCCACTGCTACAATGGGATGTGCTAAGTGATCCCTGACTTAGGTAGATCACACTTCTCTTATGATTGGAAAAGTTATGCCCTGACAATTTAAAACTTCTGCATCTATCCTGTGTCAGTGTCCATCCTACAAGACAGAGTCCAAGATGGAAATAGATGGGCAAGAGATTTATTGGAGGAAATTCTTGAGAAGGAAAGTGGGGAAAGGGAGCAGAAATAGGTGGGAAGAGTCATTGGACCATGATGCTGGTCTGACACTTTTGAAAGGAGAGAGGGAAAAAAGAAAGAATCAATTAAGAAGAGCCTCACACTGCAGTGTAGCCAGACTGATGAGGAACCAAAGAGCAAAAACTGGCCATAAGCGGAATCTCTCAATGGACAGGAATGGCCTGTCTCTAGTGCCCCTGATCTACTCAGTCATTGGCTAGAGTGGTGCAGAGAGAATATAATGTCAAGAAACTGGGGCACATCTTGAAGATGCAGCAGCTGGAGATCATCAGCAACAAGTCCTTTCTTGAAGGGAGATCTGAGCAGCACAACCCCATGGCTGCCACATCCCTAGAGAAATGCCCCAACTTCTGGCTTATAGGTTCCTCTTCTTGCCCCAGCCTGACTTTTGCCTTGCAGTATATTGTCAAAAACAATATAATTGAGTTATGTTCTTGCCTTCTAAGTTATGCATATATTCTTCTCCTGTCTCCCTAGGGTAAACTTTGTCACCTCAATTAGGCTTTTATGTGTTTCCAAATTCCCCATCGCATTCATAGACAATCTTACAAGCAGCCAACCATATTCACTCTATATAGATTTTAAAAGTCTAACCAATTTATTTGCCAGTTTTATGGGTCATTTTCTTGTTCTACCATCACTGCCAACATTCACCCTGCAAATATGTTAACATTTTACTACATTTTATACTTTCTAATTTTGTGCAAGCTAAAATAATCACTAAAAACTTTATATTCTATTATACAGCCTCAAAGTCAGGCACCTTGAAAGAGTAGTCTATCCTCATTCTCTACTTTCTCAGTTTCCATTAATCCACTACAGTATGGATTCACCTCCATCACTCCAATGAAACAGTATCATAATGGTCCCCATGACCTAATTGACAGTTAAATGTTCGCTTCTTGTGTAGCTGGAGATTTTGACACTGTTGACTCCTCCCTTCTTCATGGCACTATATTCTCCGGCCTTTCCTACTACTACTCTGTCTGTTCTTTCTCAGCTTTCCAAAATTCTGGTGTTCCTCAGAGGTGTGTCCCAGCTCCTTTATTTTGACTGTATGTATTCTCTCTAGTCAACATCATTTTCATCCAGGATATCAAATATGTATTTACTGATGATTCCCAAAACCTATATCTCCAAATAGACTCCTCTCTAGAGCTCCAGAACCAAACACCATTAATAATCATTTGGTCATTTGACCATTTCATAGACATTTGCCTTTAGATGCTACACAGGTAACTCAAATTTAGTCATTTAAAAATCAAATCACACATATTTGTCCACATCTTCTCTTCTGTTATTTCCTGTATTGGTAAATATATCTACCCAATTGCCTAAAGCATATAGGCATATAGAGTACCAAGTGACAGTAGATTCTCTCTCTCTCTCTCTCCCCCTCTCTCCCCCACTCCACTCCTCACCTCTCTCTCTCTCTCTCTTCCTGCCTCCCTCTCTATCCTTGCTTTCTAAGTCAAATCAAACACCAACCCTAAATAATTCTAACTGATATACTCTTCGCCATCATAACTGCAATTGCAATAATTAAGGACTAATAATTTCCTGCCCTGTTTAGCACAGTGTCCTCCAAGTTGACATCCCTAGCTCTAGGTGTGACCTCTGTTATCTCCGAAGTGATTTTCACAGACAAATATCATTATATTACTCATATTCTATAATGGTTCACTATCAAATAGTTCACATGTTGCTTTCTGTGTCCCAGAGAGCCTTCAACATCTTACCCCTGAAAATATGTTCAATGTCATTGCCCTCTGGTCTCACTTTTCTTCTCTGTGCTCCATTTGACCTGAACTACTGGCATAGAAGTCACCATGCTCATTCTGACTTGCCCTTGTGTATCTGCCACTGCATCTGCCAGCCTGGCATTCTCACATCCCAGACAGATTAGATGATTTTCCTCAATTCTCCCATTACTTGTTTCACACACCTTCACTGTAGCCAGTACCATTGTCCTGTAGTTGGAATGTCTTTCTCCCCACCATAGACAACATTAATTAGATGCAGGGGTTATATCTTTTCATCAGTATATTTCCAGAGCTTGGTGTAGTGGATGGCATTTAAGTGCCTGATAATATTTGTATCTGAATGAATACATGAGTGAGAGTGAGTGAGTGAATTGAGTCCTGAAGATTTTTTTTTAATTTAAAGTTAGTATATCTTCTAAGTTATTCTAAAACAGTCCTTGAAGAGATATAGGAGGAAAAAAATATTGTGGAGTAAAAAAATGCTGTGGGTTTTGGGTGACAATTTTCTTCTATTTACTAAAGTGCACAGATTTCATTCCATTAGGAGCAACTTCAGAAGATTGTCTCCAACTACCTATAATAGCTTCAATTGTATCGCAAATTCCCAGTGTAAATAGGGCATGGGGATGTTGCAAAACATTGTTGTTATATGCAGGTTTTCAAGCAGTGCTTTGTTGTTTAAATGCAATTTGGCCTAAAAGCCTTAAAAACGAATAACTTTTCTTCACATAGTATGCTAAAGTTTCTGAACAGTTTTCACATGCCATTTTTATTCAGTATTCAAAGTATCTCAGTGAGGTAGTCAGAACAAAAATGATCATCTTTTTATATATGGCATAGGTCTAAGAAGCTAGGAAGCTTGCTCAAGGTTGGCAGTTTCTGTGTGGTGATCCTGGAGCTGGAATTTAGGACTTCTGGCTGCTAAACTCATTTCTTCTTTCTATCCTTGTAGCCTCCTTGGTATTTCTATGTACAGGACAAGTACAGCTCAGTTTGCATTCCTACAATGCTGCTCTTGGCCCTAGTCAGTCTCAAGACCATGGATGTTGTGGGAGTTCTTCATTTCCCAAGTGCTTTTCCTTAACAGGCTTCCCTGCTGCCCTAGCTGAGGCTGGAGCTGCCAGCTCTGGTTATTGACACCAGCAAATCCTTTCACTCACCCCATATGATAACTATTCCTTTTGGGTTTATGTCTAAGCTTCAATTCTGCATGGTTCCGTCTTCTTGGATGTAAAACATCCATCGCAGTAATTTTCTTAAAAAACAAGGATAAACTGAAATTCCTTAATTCTGCAAAGAGAGCTAGAATATTTATTGTACCATTCATGGAAGAATTCTCCTAGCCCACATTTCTCTGCACCAGACTAAATTCAGCAGCAGATGTGTTTGGTTTGGATTTCACAGTGCTTTAAAAAGCACTTAGAATTTGGAAGACTTTAGGCAAACTATGCACTCTTCAAATTGCTGTGGACCCTATTATGTCATTTGTTTACATTTCTGACCCTAGAAGATATTTGAGTTTGCAACCCCTGCCTGCCGATATTAATATACCACATTGGGTAAAAATAGCAGCTAATATTTATCAAGCATCTTCTATGTACCAAGCACTGTCTTCAACATTTTACAAATGTTAGTACATTTAACCCTCACAACAAACGCTTAACAGGTAAACAACTCTTCCTAGTAAGTACTATTTCATTGTTCCCAAATGAGGAAATCAAAGGACTGAGAATTAAGGACATTGCCCAGTCACACAGTTTGTGGATGGCAGAGCTAGATTCAGACCCAGGCTGTCTAGATCCAGAGCCAGCCTCTACCCTCTGGTGCCTGGATGCAATTTCAACTTTTGTGTGATCCATGAAAGGAAACAGAAAATAGATCATTAGCATCAGAGGAGGTCAAAGAATAGTTTTTCTAAATGAAAAGAGAGCTAAGGAGCCTTGGAGTAAATGAACTGAGAATGCCATGTTTGCATGTGCAACACTAAGCATACACCTCTTTGGACACAGAAGACTCTGAGAGCCTTATGAAGATGTGCCTACTGCTTCAGTCACAAAGTTGAAAAGGGCACATGGCATAGAGTGACCTCATGAAGTCGACTGAATGCAGTGTGTCTCGTTGTGGTGCTTTGATTTTGCAAAAATGTAAATTAGTACATTGGCAGGAACAGCTGGCTTTGCTCTGCGTTTTCCTTCTTAGAAATTTTGCTCTTCTTTGCCAGCCCTTAATATTGCTCAGTGACACACAGAAGTTGAATGTGATTCCCAAAAAACTCTTAGCATTCAAACTAGGGGACTGTTGGTGGTCATGGAAAGAAAAGGGGAGAGAAAGTTATCCTTTCTTCAATATATGCCTTTGAAATAATTAGGTTATTCCTTGCTGGCATGCAATTTTAGAATGGGAAAGAAGGGACATGATTTGGATGTTTGTAAGTGTTAAGGTTTGATAGAACACTATTCTAAATCTGGTAATAATGATAATAATGATGATATTGTAGCTACTTGATTCTCAGAGATTTGTTGTTGAGTCACAAACACACATCTACGACCTTTTCTGTATGTCCCACTTTTTGATGTACAGTAAGAGTAAGGTAGAAACAACTCGCCACTTGGCATTTAATCTCCTTATCTTTCCCACTTATTGATCTATAGTAAGTTTTTTCACAAACATATGTGACCAGTGTTTTTCATTTTGCGGGAGGCGGAGCGGGGACATGGCTGGCTGACTTGGGTCCTATAGCAAAGCTTGGGGCCCTAGAGCTGCCAGAGCCAAGTAAGAAGTAGTGACCAGAGATGGGTCCATGTCCTGGGATAGGCACAATAGGACCCCAGGGCTTGGTACAAGAAGCAAAAGCATATTTGCGGTCAGGCCAATGTTACATATCAAGTCCGAGACCAAGATTGAGCAATATTGAGTGGAAAGGCCAGAAACCACAGAAAATCCAAAGGAAGACAACATATGGTTGGGCAAGGGCCAAAGGCAGTATTGCTTAATAACCATTAAGCAATGTCCATTAAGCAAATGTCCATGCTTTGGAGTCAAATTTGGATTTCTATTTTTCTTCATATTAGTTGTGCGACCTTATGTAGTTTTAATGCAGAATGTGTAATGGTCAAGTACTGGATTCTGCAATCTAGCTGTTTACATTTGAATCCTGTTTTCCCACTACCAGCCATGTGATGACATGAACAGATTATTTAATTATTAGATGCCGTAAGGCTGGTAATTATAGCAGAACCTTTCTTAAAATGTGGATGTAAGGATGGAGAGAATTAATATATGAGAAGCCCTTAGCACAGTAATTGCACAGAGTAAACACAAATAATTATTCTCCTCATTATTATAATGATAATCTCTTTTGTGTTCCTGTTTCTCCTCCATAAAATAAAAGTCCTAACACTTGCCTCAGAGGATTGTAGTGAGGAATAAATGAGATAAAGTGTGGCGGCCCCTGGCCCGTGAACGGTAGTCATGATTATTGTAAGGAACATAAGATAGAAATTTGCCACGGTAATCTCCCATGAGGACAGAACTTCTTTTGAAAGCCCCAAGATCCTGCCCGTAAATCATAAGGCATGCACACCAAGCCCAGTGTCTGACAGCAGCTCCTTTCCTGCCTGTCTCATCATGTTAAACGCAATATCAGAAAATTAAAGAATAGAAGGGGGGAGAAAATGTAAAGTCCTCAATATGAGCAAGTATGTAGAAGTCCAAAAAAAGTAAATAATTTGCACAATGTCACACTGCTAGTTTGTTACAAAGGTGATCCTTGAACTCAATTACTTGAACTCCTTTTCTGTTGTCTATTCCACTATTCCACACTAATACTGCCTCTTCTAAATTCTCACAATCCATCTGGTGGCTCCTCAGGGGCTGATTTAAGCTCCATGAAGGGGCTTAGCTTAACATCAGTAGAGAATCAGCCTCTCCTGAGAAGGGATTCGATTGCTGTTTGCTCAGTGCTGATTACTTTGATAATAATCAGGGTATAAAAAGAAGTAATACAGTATTAATCAGGAAAACAGCATGCTACCACTGCAGAAACTAGGTCATAGTTGCAGTTAACTATGCCATTTGTAATGCAATTTAATGTCAATTTTCTCTTAGATATTTTTCTTTTGTAATCTTTTCTTATTTTTTAATTTCTTTCATATAGCATGCAAAGCCAGTTGAGTTGACATTGGTGTTTAATTTAACAATTGTTGAATGAATAATTTGAATAATTGATTTGTCCCTGATTCATTTTTCCAACCCTTTACATCTTCCTAGTTCTCGTATTTGCCAAGTGACTTTGGATTTTGACTTGAAAAAAATTTTTAAAGCATCTGGTCTCATCAGGTAAATTTCATTTCCTGCACACCCTTCAGCTCCCTTCCCTTCACCCACTCATGCACTCATACACTGTCTGCCTTCCTTCCAGGGCATTCTGTCTTTCATCGAAGGATTTAGTACCACAGCTAACTTTAAAGCCTAAACATGAGTAGTTTTCCCAGAACCATGGTACTGAAACCTCATGATTAGATACAAAATATTTGAAAAAATAATGAAAAGAAAGTAAAAAAGAGAATTGAAAAAAATGAAATTGTTAATGTATGAAAACATTTAATTCTGCCAGCTGGCTTTTTCTTTCTTGTCTATTCTGCACATAATTCCAGCGTGTACTTCTTTTCACATTTCAATATCTCTGACATCAGGATACATCTAAACATCAATGGCTTCTTGCATTTACAATAGGCATTTTTTATTAGAGTCATATAGAAAATAGATCATTTTATAATGGAGTATGTCTTCAATATGATGAACTGTGATGATAGAAATACTAGCAAGTATTGTGTGCCATTCATTTTCATAAATGCCTTATACATGTTAACTTCTTTAACCTTCACAAAACACCTACAGAGTGGATTCTCTTATTCTCTCTGTTTTCAGATTGCAGAAACAAGGAGAGATAGGCAGTGAAAGAGGTTGCCATATCTAGTAAGAAAGTGCCATATCTAGTAAGTAATGGGGTCAGGATATGAACCCAGACTCCTTCCCTAGGCTGTGCTCTTAACCTCTACCCAAAACGTTTTTCTGATTTTTCCATATAGGACTTTGGACACTTTTCCCATCTCTTGGTTTGTCTTTTAGAATATTCCATCATCTTCTGTGAAGACATTGGAATATGGATTCTCATTCTCACTTATTTTTGTCTGTGTGTCTGGGTATTTTACCAGAGGGTCATTATTAGAGTCAGGATAAATGCAATATTTAAGAGACCTATCTCTGAAATCAGAAACTAACTGGGTCCAAATTCTGGCTTTGACTCTTACTAGCCCTGTCACTTTGGGCAAATTACCTAACGTTAGTTTTCTTTTTTAAAAAATAAGTATTTTTTTAAGTTTACCTCATAGGGTTATCATGAGAATTAAATCAAATGACTTATGTATAACATATTTAGAACAATACCTAAATATAATGAATACCCAACAAATGTTGGCTTATTTATGAAATCATAGTATATGAGACTGAAGTAAAAGGGAAGAGAATGAGGAAAAAAAAACAGGAGAAACACTCAGAAGAGTTAGCAATTTATTAACTCATTCATGTATTCAACAAAAGATGTACTGAGGTTGTATTGTGTGCAAAGCAATGTAGGGACAGCATCTTCCTTATAGCTAGGTCTGAAGAAGAAAAGGAACTTGCAAAATGCTTCTGTTTTCTGCATTGGGCCTGGCACTGAGTAAAATGCGAGAGTGAAAGGTACATCAATTTCGTATTCCCCAAAAGCGTCGAGAGGCACAGAGAGAGGTCTGGGTTTTCAAGGAAGGGTGAAATTATTCCCGGTCACAATGGATTTGAAGAGATTCATCCACCAAATATTTAAGTGCCTACAATATATTGTATTCAGGATATAAAGAATAAAATAATAGCTCTGCTTTCAAGAATGATGCTTCCAATACTTATTTGTGATTTAGATATAGAAATCGGTGATGGGAAAACATCACTAATGAGGTAGGTAGTCATTTTAGTTAGTAGAGTTGGATTCAGCTTATTATTTCAAGCAACCTTGCTTTAAATTGCTGCCCTATTGATCTTTCTGGAAATAGATACAAAATTACCTTTTATTTTTTTTTTTCTGAGATGGAATCTCGCTTTGTTGCCCAGGCTGGAGTGCAGTGGCATGATCTCAGCTCACTGCAACCTCTGTCTCCTGGGTTCAAGCAATTCTCCCTCAGCCTCCCGAGTAGCTAGGACTATAGGCGCCCGCCACCACACCCAGCTAATTTTTGCATTTTTAGTAGCAACAGGGTTTTACCACTTTGGCCAGGCTGGTCTCAAACTCCTGACCTCAGGTGATCTGCCCACCTCGGCCTCCCAAAGTGCTGGGATTACAGAGGTGAGCCACCATGCCCAGCCAGAAAATTACTTTTTTTTAAATAGAGAAATGTATCACTACATTTAAATGTCTAAGTTCAAATTAATTTTGATTTTATTAGAATAGAAAAACTGAAATGAATATTTTTGTAAAGACTAAAAACAATTGCATTTATAGTTTAGGCAATTGGATGTCTTTTGGTTTTTGTTTGTCATTCCGTCTACTGAGTAATTTAGCTAAAAATAACAGCTCTTACTTGGCCAAGAAAGTCACATGTTTATGTTTTATTAAGACAAGCAAGTTCATCCTCAAATATCCTAATTTGAATTAATTAAGGAAAAATGACTAAAAAGGCATTTATTAAACATATAGTAAGGGGCCAGATGAAACGATCACCATACCCAAATCACTTGGTCACAAATAATTTTTGCCCATTGTCAACCACATATTTTTGTAGACTGATAGATTTTCTTTTCATGGAAAAATCAATGGAAATGTCAAAATATGTTGTAAATTATAATGTAAAAACAAAACCCCTTTCCTTTTGCTTATTTCATCCACCAGATGTCCCTCTTCTCAAATTTGGTGATGTGTTACTACAGAAAGAAGTGCCATGCTATGTTAATGAAAGAAACTGGTAGTTGAGTTGAAAAAATCCACTGTCAATCTCCACTCTTATTTTTGGCAACTACAAACTGACAAAACGTTAGCAGCTATGTCTAAACATTCTTTCCAGACTTGGATTCCCTCCAAACCTTTCTTCTTGAGTGGCTATCTGGCCTATTCTTAAGAACTCTCTTTAACAGGAAAGCTACTCTCATCCAAAGCAGCCAGTCTACTTCTGGTCAGCTGTGCCTGTTGGAAAATTTTTTTTTTTGCTAAGAAATTTATCTCTTATATCTACTTCCATGGTTCAAATATCTACCTTTGGAAATAGTCATTTCTAATACATTGTTTTCCAAATAATAGTCATCCAAATAATTCAACAGCTAATAAATTCTACCTACATCTTTTCTTCTCCAGGCTAAATTGTATTCCCAAAGTTTGCTATTAGTCAATTTTTTTGAATAAAGGGCATATTTTCACATAAACAAAAAATTATAAATGGTGATTGGGGATGTGGGCAAGATAAAAAAATTATTTAACTTACATCAAGATGAAGCAGTCAGAAATTATCTATATTAAAAAATTATTTGTGAAAACTTTAATAATTCCCAACAGAGGTTATTTAATATGTTAATTGTGTTTGGTTGAGTGATACTACACAGAAAGTATCATTAGAAGTTATTTTCCCAGATTCAAATTGTAACTCTAAGCATCTATCACATATTCTACCCCAGTGTTTTGGTGTAACTATAAGTCATCTAAATTGTGAATGATTGTTTTAAATTATTCAAAACATTTTTAGTATAACCAAATGGCATTTAAAGTACATCTGCATTCTTAAATTATTAGATAATTCTCTAATCTGATCATTACAATTTAATATTCATTAATCTGGCTGGATGTGGTTGCTCATGTCTAATCCCAGCACTTTGGGAGGCCAAGGCGGACAGATCACTTGAGGTCAGGAGTTTCAGACCAGCCTGGCCAAGATGGTAGAACCCTGTCACTACCAAAAATAAAATAATTTAAAAAATTAGCTGGGCATGGTGGCATGCACCTATAGTTTCAACTGCTCTGGAGAATCTCTTGAACACAGGAGGCAGAGGCTACAGTGAGCCGAGATCCACTACTGCACTTTAGCCTGGGTGACAGAGCAAGACTCCATCTCAAAAAAACAACCATTAATTTGTGTGAACACAGATGAACATAGAAATATTCGAAGGGAATAATACTATGAGAATAAAAATTGGTCATAGAACCGGATAACTATTGCAAATGGAGATTATTCAGTGCTAGTACGATTGTCTACACATCAAGTCATTATATTTTATTTTTAGAGTTGTTTGACAGTTCGTTTAGGCCTGTACTGAGTCAATCTGAGAACTAAGTGAATTTTAATGACATTCCTCCCATTATATGTAATATGAGTGGATGGGAATCTCTTGTAATTTATAGTAATGACCCTCAGGACACACTTAGGTTTAGGCAATAGTAGATTATTATCATGCCCATATGAAATAGTTTTCAGAATCTCAGGGAAAAGATGAAGGGGATACCCCGAAAGCAACTGACTACAAGTTATTTTCACTGAAAATCATTATGTTTATGAAAAGTAACACAAATTATATGTTACAACTATTTTTAAGCTGTTCTTTACCAAAAAGTCGAACAAATACTTCTTAAAAGTGAAAATACAGCCAAATTTCTTTATTGTGTTGAGTCTTTCTGGAACCTCTAAGTGTCCATCTGGTGCTTAGAGCCACAAAATTTTGAAGTTTAAAAATTCCCTCTCTCTAAGCATTAGGGTTGTAGGAGGATTAAATCCAAAGCTCATTATGGACAAATCCCATTAATTGGCATTTTTATTTTGGTGAAGTAGGAACAATAAAAAATTTTTAAACTTGGTTCAAGTGGAGAATGGAGAGGAAGAGTATGGCTCACCCAGTCTTTCCAAAATTTAACCTCACCAAGCAAATTGAAGGAGGTGGCAATTATACATCCACAGCCCCAAAACCTCATATTTTGAGATGTAAATTTCCAAGTTTCCTGCAATAATACAAGCAGAAAAAATATTATCAGTCATCTGAAATATCAGAGCCAACTAGACTGACCATATTATAATTTCTATTGGCTTTTAGAGAGGATATGTTGGACCAAATGTTTTGATTATGTTTGTGGTTTGACCATAAATTTTGTGCATCGATAATAAATAGTAATGAGCTAACAATTAATGACCAGCTACTCCAAGCCAGGCAAAGTGCTAAGCACATTACATGCACTACATTTAAGCCTCACACAACTCCTGTGATATAGGCACCATTGTTATATTGATGTTACAGCTGCATAAACTGTGGCAGAGCAAGGTCTCTTGTCAAAACTTTTGTGCTTAACATCCAAGTTCTCGTGTCAGGCGTTTGTTTTTCACATCCTTCAAAGCAGGAAAGTTAGTCTTCCATCATTGAGTTTCACAAGATGTCAGGCACTAGGATGTACAGTGCCTGGACACCCCAGGAAAGATCCCCATGCCAGGAGTTTACACAGTGGCATGAGAGGGAGGGAAGAGGCAGATACCCATAAGCAATTTCAGTTCGGATAAATATTGCACTGAGACAAGCAGGGGAAGCTGTGGATAGATTGAGGAAAGACAGATGCCTATCTGAGTCCACTCAGGCTGCTACGATGAAATACACTAAACCAAGTAGCTTTTAAGCAATGAAACTTGATTTCTTAGATTTCTAGAGGCTGTGAAGTTCATGATCAAGGACCCAGCAGATTTGGCGTCTGGTGAGGGCTCACTCTCTGGTTCATAAGTGGTGCTTTCCCTTTGCATCCTCAATGGTGGAAGGGGGCAAACAAGCCCCTTCTCTCCTGGCCTCTTTTTTAAGGGGACTAGTCCCATTCATGAGGGATCTGCCCTCATGATCTAATCAATCCCTAAAGGCCCCACCTCCTAACACTATCACCTTGGGGGTTAGGATTTCAACAAGAATTTTGAGAGGACACAAACATTCACACAATAGCAATGCCTATATACGCTTTCTTCTTCGTAACTAATATAACCATTTCTTAAAATAAACAAGTGAGTCTTAAGTGCCTACCCATGCCAGGTACCTACGTTCAGGGCTCCACATTTCCTCTGGGCCATGTCTGGTGAGATGCCAGTCTGCCTCCAAGATGCTCATAAGCCACATTTTTACAGGTCTCTCTAAAAAGCTTCCTATGAGTTTTCTTTGTATGTAATCTCATAATCTAGTCTTTGAATGAACCTAAAGCTTTTTTCTGGTCCGTAGCTAGTGGAAAGGAAGCGTTTTCTTTGCTCATTTCTTTCCATGTTAATTAACCATAACACTATCCTTCAAGCCAACTAATTTGTTTTCTACTTTGTTATTTAGATTCTTCAAATATTTGGTGATTATTATCCCATAATCCTTAAGTTGTTGCTTAGTTGGGTTACATATACTTGTATTTAACTATCCATTTATTTTCCATTCTTGGTCTATATTTTATTTCATTTTGTTATTTTTCAGTATTGAAATTGCTTTTCTTCTCTTGTCCCACTGAAGCACTGTGATTCATGTTAACACTCTGAAACAATTGGTCATAAATCCAAATTCAGGGCACTTAGGTTCAGGAAAGGCAGGCTTATGATCTTATTCCAGAAGATTATAGAAAAACTAGATCACCAAACATCAGTGGTAGTGACTTCACAGAGAGAAATGTAGCAATTTAGCGAATTGCCCTCCCTTCTTTCTGGATTTTCTAATTTTAACTTCCTAGGTTGCATTCATGCAACCATTTATATAACTACTAGGTGCTGAATCTTCTCCTTTCTTAGGCATTTTATCCAATGAAGACTTAAGATTCATGATGCAGTTGAGGTCATTCTTAAAGGAAATAATAGACTTTTTAGGTTAATTTAAAAATACGGAGAGCTGGGAGAAGCAAAGGAAGGCAAAGAGAGAGATAGGATTAATTCTGGAAGCGTACAGGAGTCATCCTAAAGGGATATAAAAAAGCACTATAAATGTTATTGCTCTAAGCTCATAAAGGAATCCTTTCTAAATGCGTCCTACTGTGACTCCAACTTTTCAGTCTTTACTCTTAGATCATGTACATACATTAAGGCTCTGTCCAATGCAATCCCTAGTATGGTTCAGTATTATTTCTGTCCTTTTTTTGGGGGGTGGTTGTTTTTCTAATCAAGATAATTCCTTCCTAATATGTTCCCTTTTTTATACTTATGACTTTCTCTTGTTTTAGGGAGATTTTCCTGTGCACACCTATAAGCTTCTTTTCTCCCTCCACTTTTGTATTCTGTCAACTCTCACCCACCACTGAAACCTTCCTAGAAGGAAGTGAACATCTGCAGCCCATAAGATCTGCATTCACAGTCTTTAGAATTAGCTCCAACTGTCTTCCCTAACTTTCCAAATCTTCCTTTTTCCATGTCCAGTTCAAAGCCAGTCTCCTTTTGGAAACTTTGTTTGATTCTAACAGCCCACATAAATCCTTCCTTATACATTCTTTTTATGTATTTACAAAATATACCTGAGACTTTTACATCCTATGTATTGATTATTATTTTTGTTATTGTTGTTTTGGTCTTACCCTCAACCAAATTCTAATTCCTTGAGAGCATGAAACATGACTTATACTATATTGGTATTTTCATATGATATCTAGTGCAATGCTAGACATATATCATATGTAAAAATTGTATTGACTTTTTTACTTTCTGTAAATTGGGCACTCTTTCCATAGTACCCAGCTGAAGTCTATTGGAATTTTGTAAATGATGAACCTTAAATTCAAACTAAAACTATCATATAAGTCAAGTCCAAATATAGTATATATTAACCACAATCATCACACTGTACATTAGGTCTCCAGAACTTATTCATCCCATAACTGCAAGATTGTGCCCTTGACCAACATCTCCCCATTTTCCCTACCTCCCAGTCCCTGGAGTAACCACTATTCTACTCGGCTTGTATGAGTTCAACATTACTAGATTCCACATGAAGGTGAGATCACATGTTAGACATATATAATATTATAAACCTTCTTATGTGATATGATCAAAACTGATCATAGGTTGACTACTTGAATTCAATCACAGTAGGGAATAATAAAAATCATACACCTTTTAGTCTTATTTTATTTAGCTTCAAACACATAACCCTTGACCCATCTTTTGCATATGGATGCCCTAGTTAGTGTCATATTGTCTTTCTTGTATAAAACAGGCTCAAAATGTATCATCTCTAATTCATTTTTGGTTTCTTTAAAATGGAGTGAGAACACAAAGATACAATAAGTACCGAGTCCTTTAATAATTTTATAACTTTTCCTAGTCTATTACAATTGTCTTACCTAAATCTAATTCGATAATTTTTTTAAGCCGGGCATGGTGACTCACGCCTGTAATCCCAGCACTTTGGGAGGCCGAGGTGGGTGGATCACCCACGGTTAGGAGTTTGAGACGAGCCTGGCCAACATGATGAAACCCTGCCTCTACTGAAAACACAAAAATTAGCTGGGCGTGGTGGCAGACACCTGTAAACCCAGCTACTCGGGAGGCTGAGGCAGGAGAATCACTTGAACCTGGGAGGCAGGTGTTGCAGTGAGCCGAGATTGTGCCATTGCGCTCCAGCCTGGGCAACAAGAGTGAAACTCTCTCTCAAAAAAAAAAAAAAAAAAAAAAAATTTTCAGCAACATTTATGTCTCAAATCTTTCAAAGCTCTCAACTTAATTTTCATAGAAATAACAACAATCCACTTTTGGTAATCATATTAGTCATTCTATATAACAGTTCTTAAATTACATCAATTACAATAACAAAGATAATTAGCATAAACAGGTTTGGAAACATCTACTGACTTTTAGTAAACAGACAACTACTCGGCGCAGAATCATACAGTCTTACTAGGAGTTAATCCACTTGTCAGCAGGCCTCGGCAAGCTCTGAACTTCATTCCATATATCTTACAGAGCAATTGGAGAGTTCATTAAAGTGCACTTAACTATGAAGATAGGTTACCTTCTATGGTTGTGTAATATTAATATTGTAATTTAAGATGTTTATGTTCAGGTCCAGAGAGCCTTAGCACACAATAAATATTTGATAAATATTAGCCATTTACATTTCATGAGAAAGTTAAACATTTTTAAATGTTTTCAGTTCATAAAGACTTTTGTAGCCTGTTTAATTTGCAATCGACATTTCTGGGATAAGAGGAACCATAACCAGAGAGCATAAAGACTAACAGTGGTGAGACTGCAGAAGTCAAAGTCTAGTTTATTCCTTCTATTCATTATTTTAACAAATCAACACATCCTTTTTTCAGTGGCTGCTCTTTGCCAGCCTCTGTTCTCAGTGTGACAAAGTCAATTATACAAAGACAGACAATTGTCACTTGTCACTTTTTTGTACAAGTATGTCTTTGTTTTTTCATTTTGTGGGTGATTTATTTCAACTCCTGGAGTAAAATACTTTTCCAAACTTGATTAGAACAAGCTTCTTAAGATATCTAAGTAGTGCCTATCTGCACAAAATGTTCTAGAATTATTTCTAGCTCTTCAAATTAAATATGCTGAGAGAACAATGGTGTTATAAGGCAGAAGAACTAGATTTCAAGCAAAACAGTTTTAAATGTCTTGCTGTGGTAGGCCAAAAAATGGTGCCCCAAAAGATATCCATGCCAAATCTCTGGAATCTGTGACTATTATCTTATTTTGGAAGATGAATCTTTGCAGATGTGATTAAGACTCTTGACATGAAGAGGTCACACTGAGCAATCCTGGAAAGCTCTCAATCCAATGACAAGTGTGTTTCTAAGAGAAATACAGAGGTAGATTTGAACAGACAGAAGACAAGACACAAGAAGGAGGCAATGTGACCACAGAGGCAAAGGTTAGAGTGAAATGGTCACAAGTCAAACAATGCCAACAGCTGCCAGAAGTTGGAAGAGGCAAAGAACAGATTCTCCATTTTTGGGGGGAGGAAGCGCAGCCCTGCAACATTTTGATTTCAGACTCTGGCCTCCAAAACTGTGTGAGAATAAATTTCCTTTGTTTTAAGCCACCTATTTTGTGGTAACTTCTTACAGCAGCCACAGGAAACCAACATGCATGTCATAAATAAATGTACTAAGTATCTAACAGCTCATCTTTATGCTGGGAACAACCCAAGATGAAGCATAGAGCAGGTATTTGGGATGTCACTAAACAAACAGTTCCAAAAGAACAGTATTTGAGGAATTCAATAATTCTACAGATCTGATTATACTCATTATAATCTGTTGTGTTGCTTACAGAGAATTATAGGGAAAAGGTAAAATATAGTAATCTAAAAAACAAAATTCACAAGTCATGCATAAAAAGTCATAGCAGTTGGGCATACGTACATTTTTGTTTCCATAGGAATTGCTTTGTAGGGCTTTTTAAGAGGAAATATGGCTGTAAATTACTTCAGGGAATATATTAACATTGTTATTTGAAAAAATCTTTTGTAAAATTAAATTTGAAGATATGGGACCTGGTGCTGATATTACCTAAAGGAAATTGACAATGCTAATAGACCACCATGGAGATAACAATGGGAAGGCTTATCCACAAGGTATTAGTAAATTGTTTTCTAAGTACCATGTGCCCATTCATATATTCTCATTATGAAAATAATAATTGGGTTTTGAATTTACAGTGAAAACTAATACCATGAGAAATTAAATGAAAAAATAAAGGCTATTGCATTTTGTATTAGAAATCTCTATTAGATTTAGGAAAATGATGTCTTTACTTTTATTCAGCTTAAATAAAATATTTGAGACATTGAATATTTTTAAAAGTATTATTCTACTAGGTAAAGTCAGACTTAATGTTTACTTTTGTTCTGTAAGTTATTTTCAATTCCTATGAAAAAAGTTTTCTTACTTTACAATATTAAACATATTGTGTGCAATCACATCAGTTTTCAGCTATTTTTTATGGACTCTGGAACTCAGAGGGAGTCAGGTTGTGAGACTTAAGTTCTAGAAATAGTAACCATTCATTTCTGGAAAATCACTCAACAGAGTTGAGAGAACAAGCTGAGAAGTGCAGGATTTCCGGTCTGTAATGCAAATGAAAAAAAATAAGAAATGTGGAAAACTATGCAACACCTCTTTGGGAAATTGGAGTGCCCACACTACACTGATAAATTTAAAATCAAATCTTTTCATTTAGCATACCGAGAAGCTGTATTTTACTTTCTTGCTGATTCACAGGTGATTCAGGATAAAGCTGGCTGTTGCTATTTATGCTTTGCAATTTTTTTGTTGGGGGGGTAAGGGTAGAGTGGAGTCTGATTCTAATGCCTCTAATAGTAGTATGAGCTGGAATGGAATTTCTGACCATATGGCTTTTCTGGGGCAGGGAAAAGGTTTAGTGCAGGAAATTCTCCTGGACCAACTCAAGACTTAGTTACTGACAGTGCAGAAGAACTTGGTTGCAGGGCTGTTTTATCTCCGAGATAAGCCCAGTTTTAGACAAAAAAAAAAAAAAAGCCATAAAAACTCAAGACAGAAAGACAGTTGGTCTTACCACATTGATAATATTGGTTGTGAATGGCACGGTGACTTCATAGTATCTCTAGTGAACCTGGCCCCTGTTGTGATAATTTTGTTGGAAGAGACTATTCTGGAATGCCCTTTATCTTACCTCCTTGCAATTCAGTGAGATGTATTAATGTGCTCAAATGGAGACACAAAGATAACTCCTACCCCTCCCCATAGGGTCCCAGACCTTTCGACATAGTGAGAAATTTGCAGTAAATGTGTTCTATGGCTTTCTTAAGATGATTCATTTTTAACCCTCTCATGTGCTTTTATTCCCAGTTGTTCACTCTCTTAAACCTCTGCCCTGTGCTGGGAAAGGTCAAGTTAAAAAAGCGATCTAGCTATTATAGAATCAGAAACCCCAAAATTAATCTACTTAGCTCAAAAGTGGCTGTGATAGGCTAAATAATGGCCCCACAAAGATGTCCACATCCTAGTTCCTGGGAACTGCGAATGTGTTGCTTTACATGGCAAAGGACTGCAGATGGAACTGTGGTTACTAATCAGCTGACCTTGACATAGAAGCTGATCCTGGATTTCTGGACCCAAAGCAATCACAAGGGACCTTAAAAGTGGGAGAAAAAGACAGGAGAGGACGTCAGAATAATGCAGTGTGAGCAGAACATAGCAAGGCTATTCTGGCTTTGGAGATGGAAGAATGGGGCCACAAGACAAGAAACACGATAACCTGTAGAAGCTGGAATGAGGAAAAAAAACACTAGATTCCCCCTCCAGAACCTCCAGAAAGGAATATGGCCCCAGTGATACTTTGATTTTAGCCTAGTAAGACCGTGTCAGATTTCTGACCTACAGAGCTATAAGTTATATCTGTATTAATTAAGCCAATCAGGTTGAGGTAATTCATTATGGCAATGATAGGAAATTAATACAGTGGCAATCAGGAATAATCACAGAATCAGAATCCAGCGGCAGACAGTTACTTAATTCATGTTTTGAAATCCAAAAACATGGTGACATTTATAGGGAAGTAGTCAGGCCAAGAAGAGGGTATTAATGTTTCAGGACAGCATAGGCACTTTGGTTTTGAACGACTAGTAGTTTTATCTGGTTCTAAGAAAGAAATTTTAAACTCAAATAAGAGTACCAACCAGTATCCTGGCTCCACAGGAGGAGAGAAGCGAAGCTCTATACCTGGCCCGCATGTGAATACAAGCAGCCAGTTACCAAAAGGGGGAGCCCAGAAGCACACAATAGCCAGGTTCTGTTGGATTTATCACAAAGTTGGTAATCCACTAATAATTTCTTTTACTTGCTCTCTATGGGTGTTCTTACACCATTAAAACAAAGGGTAGTTGCAGACCATATGGATAATGTTTCATAGAATGTTTTATCCTCCTTAACTTTAATTAACTAAACCAATGCTGACACAATTACACTGGATATAATAATAGTTTTTAAATAGTCTGTATAACTTCACAAATGAAGCATATGCTGCAACTACAGAAGAAAATGTTGCAGTTGCACATTTCTAAGATTTTTCCCTTAATTTTAAGTAATATAAGTCATCTGAGTTGTAGTAATGCTGTTCAAATGGTCAATGATGTATTGGACACTTTTAACACACACACACACACACACACATATCCAGAATAAAGAGGAAAAAAATGACTGAGATGGGATATTAGTTCAGTGGCTTTACTTCATTTTCCTACAAAAATTTGTCCTGGCAGGCAGACCAGGTAGGTGGGATAGTTCTGATCTATGAGTTTATCCAGAGACCCATGTTGTCTTTCTAGCAGCTCTATTATGTTTTAGGGAATAACCCTTTTCCACATGGTTCAGCATCACAACATTCACATTTTAGTTTATAGATAAAGAAAAGAAGTGGACAGCAAACAGCTTCTGTTTGAGGTATGCAGGAAGGTGTATGCATGACCTCAGTAAACATCTCATTAGCCGGAATTTAGTTACATAGCCATAGCAAGCTGCAAGGGACTCAGGGAAGTGTAATCTACAGATTTGTGTCCATATGTTCAGTGGACACTTGGAAGATTCTACTAGTTAACAAAAAATAGAGGATTAATTAGCAATCTGGGTCCACAGAGCTAGAACAATCCCCGTTAGTCAAACCAGATTGGTCCTAGGCCTTTGTAGGTGTATCTTCCCCTGGCTTCTGCTACAATTTTCCTAATTTTGATTCATTTCTAGGTGCCCATTTACTGTCCTTGTACTTCACTCTATGTCTGTGTTTGCTCATGGTAGCTTCACTAGCCTTTGCTACCAGCTTATAATCTTTTTCTTCACTATGTTCCTGTGATATCATTTTTATTTATTTTTGTTTCCAGTTATATGCCTCCGCCATATTCTGAATTTAAGTGTTCTTTCCCAGCCAACCAAATAACCTGAAATTCCAAATAGCCCAGATTCTTCTCTTTCACTCCCAAATAGTCTCAATCAATGACCTGTGATGCAAATCATCTTTATGCTGACAGCAGACAAGAGCTTTCTCCTTTGTCAAGATGCATTAGGAAAGAATGACATCAGCAGGTCTTATGTTTTAGTGTTATTGACCTTTAGAGTAGATAAAACTAATGCTAAACAGTTAGTAGCCCTACTTAAGCAAATTGGATTGCTTTGAGACCAAATCCATGTTAGACTGTAAATATGCAACCTCATTCATGAAAACACATCTATCCTAATGTAGTGAGGTGGGCGAGTCTTGAGGACTCAACCCTCAATACATTATTTATTGTCAATATCCTTAAGATGCTTTGTGGCATTTGGAAATTTTTGTTTGTTTTGTAAAGAAATGCGGAGAAAATGAGATCCAGTCTTCAGGATCAAAGACAAGACAAGACATTTCAGGTCAATAGCTCTCTCTGTAGTAATGGTCAGCAAAAGAAATGCATAAATTGAACTTATGGTGGGGAAATCATAATATTCCACTGTAATATTGTGAAATATGTATGTGGTCTTTGTCCTCATTTCCTGGCATACAACTCATAAGATCCTTAGAATCTTCAGAGTGACAAGTATCTTTTGTATGCTAATGAGTTGACTGAAGGCTGGCAACCTACTGGTAGCTCAGGATCTGGGCTGGTCACCCAGGAAACCAAGGCAGGATTAGAGGATTGGGACTTTCAGCCCCAATCTTCAACCTCAAGGAAAGGAAGGGATCTGAAGGTTATGTTGATCACCAATGGGCAATGACTTAATCATCATGCCTTTGTAATGAAGCCTCCATGAAAACCCAAAAAGGAGTAGGCTTCCGGAAAGCTGAACATGTGGAGGTTTCTAGAGGGTGGCATACCCAGAGAGGGCATGAAACCTCAGCACTGCTTTCCATATGTCTCACCCTATACATCTTTTCATCTGTATCCTTTGTAATACCTTTTATAATAAACAAGTAAACATGTTTCCCTGAGTTCCGAGAGCTGCTTTAGAATTGATTTCTTGCTTGATGTGTGGAGGACAACCCCCACATATCTTGTGTCAGAAGCATGTTGTAAGAATGTGGTAGAAGAAATTGTTTGTTTGTTATTACTGTATTCTCAGATCCACTGAATTGAATATTTCTTTTCTGTCAGACTAGCTGATTAGTGCTTATCAAGGCAGCCAAATGGTCTCAGCAGCATGAAATATAAGAAATAGAAAAGCACTTACAGATTATATAGCTCAGCATCTTTCATTTCACTGACTAAAAGCCACATCCATGGATGTGAGGAAATTTTCAGCTGGGAAAGCCAAAAGTGGAACCAGATGTGGATGCTCAATGCAGTGTACAGTATCTTGGGTTTCTATTGGGTCTACATTTATACCCACAATTTCTTTTATCTCTGCTTGCCTTTTTTTTAAGCCTTTTGTTCCCAATTGTATTCTGGCTTCATTGACCTTAACAGACTTCTTATTTGGAGTATTATGCTTTATACATTTATATACCTTAAATATTGCAAAATATTTTAAATAAGATAATTTTTCTTTAGAGAACTTATAGTTTAGTGATAAAATATATTACATGTATAATCAGCAAGATAAATGTTTACATAGAGGTTTATTCAATTAATTATATATTGAACACATACTGTCATTGAGACCAGAATGGTCAATAACATTCTCTGAATGTGTAGGCTGTGTAAGCATATAACTGGGGAAAACAGTCTGAGAGGTTAAGAAAAGCTTCCCTGATAAAGTAGCAGCTGGTGAAATCTGAAGGGTGAATAAGAGATAGCCAAGCAAAGAGTGGGAGTGGGAGTGAGGAGTGAGAGTGGAGATCCAGAGAGACTTCAGGCTGAAGAAATAGCATGTACCAAGGTCCTGAGGCAGCAAGGAGCATGCACTTTCAAGGTCAGTGTGAGTTGAACATAGTGATCCTAATGGAAGAAGGGCAGGAGAGTGATGAGAAGGGGCTAGATTACATGGGGTATGGTTGATCATGTTAAGGTTTTGGACTTTAGTCCAAAACAATTTTTTGATTTGTGGTGATATGTCCTATTTCTGCAGAAGTGCAGCAAAATTATCTAAGCTTCCCAGAGAGGGTAAAGAAAACATTTGTAGAAGGTGTAATGTATGCATTCAGATTTAAAGGAAAAATAGGGCGTTTCCAGGCAGGCAGATGAAGCAAGAGCACACCAGTCCGAGAAAAAAAAAAAAAACACATGTCTTGAGATACTGCCATTAGAATTGTTCCCAGTTCATAAGCAGAGAGGAAAAGATGAGATAGCTCTGGTAGGCAGGGACCAACTCATACATGCCATTCAAGGGTGCCTGGATTCTATCCTGTAGGTGATGAGAAACCGCTGAGGTTATCTGAGCTAGTGAATGACATCACCAGGTTCAAGTATTAGTGGAGTCCTTCTGCAGCAATGTGGAAGACAGGCTACAGACAGGATGGCCAGTGCAATGGGCATCCCAATAGGAAAGAGAAGATATTGGCCAAATCTGTGGGAGCAGTAGTGGAAAGGGGAAAAAGGGGACAAGTATGAGGGAGAGCTTGTTAACAGAAGTATGACTTTATGAACCAGAATGGCCACCTCTGCAAAATGTTAGCTAAGTAGGAGTTTACTGAGCTACCGTTTCAATGAAATAAGTGTACTGGGGAGAGTAAAATAAAAATGAAAATATCTGGGCTCACTTTCCCCAACAATTAATCCACTTATGTTTATAATGAAATGTTTATTTTATTAAAATTGATATTCATTTTGACACATCTGAAATTTGAAGAAAAATCAAGAGTCAAGGTTTTACTTTTCTAGCATGAAAGCTTGGAACTAGAAGTTAATATTTGTCTTCAGTACCTAGAGAGACTATTAAAGTAGAGAAACATGTGTGCTCTACCAGTTTTCTTTACCATGTGCTCAATACTTTAGAGTCAGTTTTTAATCAGTGTTCATGGAATACATGAGTAGCTTGGCTGGCAGTGTAACAATATCTCATGATGATATTGAATACTCACCAGCCACTTTCTATGTACTTAATAGGTATTCAGGCCATATCTCTCTGCTCAGTCACCATCAGTTATTAAATGGAACATAGAGTACACAGGAATTATACCTGAAACTGCTGAAACCCTATTTGAATCCTAATCATGATCTACTATAAATAATAATATTATACTATAAGTGAATTTATAGTAATCCCTTAGCACTAATTACAAATTACTCAACACTAATTATAAGTAAGCAATTGCCTGACCTCTCAAATAGCAATTTTAAGTATACAAAGGGCATTTATGCATATAGTCTCTTTTAATCATAAAAGCAATCTCAAAAGGTAGGCAGAAACCTACAATACCTTCTTAATTAATTATTTTTAATTATTTTCCTCTTACTTTGTTCCTGAGTCTGAAAAGTTGAAGAGAAGTACTTATTTATCTCACAAGTTTTTATGGGAGCTATTATCCCATTTTACAGAAGAGAAAGTCCACTTGGGAGAGGTTAAATGTCTTTCTTAAGAGCATACAGTGGTGTAAGAAGGGGTAAGTATCAAACCCAAGTCTTTGATTGTAAGTCAATGCTCTTTTCATTAAATCATCCCCACAACTAATCGTAGACATATTGTTTGACTCTAATGTAACTTTGAGCATCAACTACTTCCAATAAGAGATGCTAGAAAAATATTCTCTAGCCAGGAAGGCAAATGATCAGGATGCCTTATCTGTAGAATGATAAATACTGCCTCCTAGAATAACAATATGATTTTTCTCCTTAAAAATGCTCTTTTTGAGAGAATTACTCTGAAAGATTACCTGGAAGTAACTTCCTTCTACTATTCAATAATTACATATTGAGTGCCTGCTGTGTCCTAGGCATGATTCTAACCATGGAATAAAACAGTTAATAACATTCTCATCATTTGAACTCTAGTAGTTTGAACCACTAAAATAATGAAATATGAAATATTGAAGTGAATATTATGAATATATTTCAACATGAGATAATGAAAGCAGTTTCTCTACTGGATGCCAACACCAAACTCATTTGAGAAAGTGAGCCAATTTTGCATTTTGCGTTAACCATGTTATTTGAACAGCCTGACAAAATTGAACAAGGGAGATCTCAAATGTGGAAACTTTCATTTAGGTGGTCTAAGAAATGTGGGGATGTGCAGTGGCAGACAGCTCACAACATTGTCATTCATGAGGCTTTGCTATACAGATATACAAGCTTGTCACCATAAATATGGAGCAAAAGCACACAGCCCTGTAAAAAATAAAAACTTAAAATGAATAAAACATTTTTTAAAGATTACATAAGCAAAATGTAAATAGATTTATCTCTAGAAATAAGTTTCAGAAATGCTGTATGGTTGCCATATTCTAAAGGTACTATGTGTCCCATAATAACAGCAAAGGTGTCTCTGGTGCCCCAGTGCTAAGCGATATTTTCAGTTAACTGTAGCCCAAGCCCAGGAGGCTGTTATCTATGGCAAAACGCAAAGTTCCTGTTCCCTACAAATGTGCCAGGGCAGATTCAGAAATCAATAACTGTCTGAATATCTAGAAAGCCCACTGATAGAGTCAGAGCCAAGATCATTGTAGGCCCTTTTAAAAGTGTGATAAAATGCCTGGCTGGGGCTGCCTTTTGAAGAAGAATTGCATGGGAGGGAATGAGCAGCCCAGAAAAACTTGAAGTTCTTTATGTATTCAATACATGTCATCTGGGGCCTTTTCAGGGACTATTACAGATGTCACACTTAGATCCACCAGGAGTCTTTCATCAGGTTGCCACATACAAGGTGAGCTTCCCGCTTGTCAGCTTCGATCCAAACCATTGCAATATGCAGGCAAGATGAAGAATTGTTTGTACCCACCAATTGAGGCTTATGGTGGGATTTAAGTCTCTGAGGAACAACAGTGATCGGAGTGAGACTACTATGTCTTCATTAATCTCACAAGTCATCCTCCTCTGTTCTTTACCTTAAATTGTTGCACTCCAGCTCCCATTCCCAGGCTGTTTCTCATTTGCTCCCATGAGTTCAAGCTCACCTTTACACTGATGTCTTCCAGCAACTTTTCTCCAGCCCACCTGGCTGTCTAACAAGCACAAAACTAATCAAACACTGAATTCATCACCTCCATTTTTACCCCCACCCACCACTCCAGCCTACCTGTTCCTGCCCCTCTTGTTATAGTCTCAACAAATGACAGGAGCCAAGACCCACCTTTCCAACCTAGAAATCTGAGTGGCAACCTCTATGCTTTCTTATCCCTCACTACCATATTGAATCCATCACCATGTCCTGCTTCTTTTCCTGCTACTTATCTCTAAAGTCCATCTCCCCTCAAAGTCCCTGCCTCATATGGTTAGGATATTTGTTCCCTCCAAATCTCATGTTGAAATGTGATCCCCAGTGTTGGAGGTGAGGTCTGGTGGGAGGTGTTTGGGTCATGGGGGCAGATTCCTCATGAATGGCTTGGTGCCCTGCCCATGGTAATGAGTTCTTGCTCTGATAGTTCAAAATAGTTCAGATAGTTTCTGAATCTGCCCTGGCACATTTGTAGGGAACAGGAACCTTGTGTTAGTTGTCTAAAGGAGCCTGGCATCTCCTCCACTCTCTCTTGCTCCCACTCTCACCAAGTAGCATGCCTGCTCCCCCTTCACCTCCCACCATGAGTAGAAGCTTTCTGAGTACTCACCAGAAGCCCAGTCAATGCTGGTCCATGCTTGTACAGCCTGCAGAACATCAGCCAAATCTCTTTTCTTTATAAATTACCCAGTCTCAGGTATTCCTTTGTGGCCACACAAAATGGACTAACACACTGCCCATGTTCTGTTCTCAACATGATCCCTGGGACTGTTGTGATATCCTCTTGGTTCCTATCCCCACCCCAGTTTTCTCCTCTTAGACCACCTCTTAACCATTCTAATATAAATGTAAATCTAACCATGTCACCTGCAAGTAAGATGCAAGTGAATGTCTAGTCCCATTTCCTGCTATTCCCCACTAAGCACTCACCACCCTATCACATCAAATGACTTGAATTTCTCCAAATGTATCATGTTCTCTCTAGTTCCCTTTACCTGAAATGCCCTTTATCCATAATATTTTAAAATTAAGATAGCATTTAAAAATCAGAAGATTGTACATTTTTAAAAACCTGAATGTTGACCTTCTCTTGGAAAAAAACTGATCTAGCAGCATAGAGCCTGCTTCCCCATACAGCAAAAATTGGGCAGAGCTTTGGGGCAGCAGGCCCAAGCCCTACTCTACTTACATACTTGTCTAGCCACCAAAGGTATTTAAATTTACAATCCCTGACCCAGAGAAATGCAAAAGCTCACAAAATCATTTGTTAATGCATCACAGAGCGTCCAGCATATGGAGCGACAGGAACACTATGCCATAAATGAATAGTGCTGCTTTAGTGATCAGGAAATTCTTCTCTGTTATTCTTACCTATTCTAGACATTGAGAGTAACAAATTTGCTATGATAAAGTTATATCTATTTAGACCCTGAAAGAGAACACTGAAATGGGGAAAGCGATTTTGTTTCAGAATGTGAACATTAAAACTAGACCTGTTGGTGAGTAAAAATTGGAGCTCCAGGCTTTAATATAATTAGAGTGCTACAAGAAGAACCCCTCAGTTCAAGCGGCAAGCTCTATGTTGGCAGACTTTCTGACCTTAAGAAAGGCTTTAAGATATCTAGGAGGAGTAATGAGGATGAGTCAGAGGCTATAAATATGACTTGAGATAGGAAAGGCTTTCTTAGGAAATGAGAAAGCTTTATGTGGCTACATGCAGGTGAGCCAGAAGGCAGGCCTGAAATGATAGCTTGCCATCTGTCCTCATGTGCTTGCTCTTCAGAACACCAGCCAAAACGAAAATGGTAACACTTGTGTGGGCTGCTCTATTTTGTAGCATTTGTAACAACAGAACACTTCACCCAGAATGAAGCCAGCACATTCCATGGGTGATTAGATGGGTTGGACCCCTGATTTTCTCTGATTATGTCTTCTCCACCTGCTGGCTGATTGAATCACCTTTCAATTTTCTTACCAGCCTGGCTCCTCATTTACACAGAATGCCAAAATGATATTTGAAGAGCTTAACTGAGCCTTTACCTAGGCTATTGATTGATGATTATGACTGCTAGTATAGTAAGACTGCTGGGTTCAAAATAGTGAAGTAGTACCTTCTGATAAATTGCCAATGAAGTGATTTTAACCTAACTCCTACCACCAAATTCACAAATGAAAATGAATACTCAATTAATAGATTGAACATTTATTCTTTGCAACATAATATGAGTTTTTTTGTTGTTCAATCAAGGAAATAATAGGGGTAAAAGTGTAAACTCTCTTTGTTCAAATTCCTACTCACTAATGTTCTAAGGAACTCAAGCATGTTATGTAAGCTCTCTGTGCCACAGTTTCCTCATCTGTAAAATGGGAATAATAACAGCTCCTTCTTGTGTTGAGTTGTCATGAGGATTTAAAGAGCTAATACAATAAAGTCTTTTAAGAGTGGCACATATATTGGCTATTATCAACACTGTATATGTCAGGCATTGTGCTAGGTACTGAATATTCGTTGGTAAATAAAATAGGTAGAGTCCTTCCCTTCATGGACCTTAGACTAGTGGCTGGCTATAAAAAGTGTAAGATATTTCATAGCTGCTTTGATTCAACAATTTCAGGCAGGTCATTTGCATGCATAGAGAACTCAGAGCCCTGATTAGCAGCTGCTCCTTTTTTCTCTGGCAAAGAGATCATATCCCTGCCCAAAGATATCCTCCAGCAGAAGCACAAAGTGTTGACAGCCTTGTCAGGTGACTGTGTTTCCGATGCAGAGGTGCTGGTTTGGCAATGGTGTTGTCCATCACTTTTATAGCTTAAAATATAATGAAAGCTGCTTGAGCAACCTTGCTAGATTGTACTATTGTTCATGCATATTAATTGCCCTTTCCTAGAAGAATACTGATGACAGACTTTGCCATGTGACTTTGGTCACAAAACGGTAGTGGATTGACATTTGTCATTTCCAGGCAGGAGCTTTAACAGCCAAGGCACAGCTAACCATACTCCTTTGCCCTGCCTTTTATGTATTTATTTTAAGTATTTATTGAGTGCCTATTATGGCAGCATGTCAAGGTGGAGCCTCCCTCAGACTGGGGCAGTGAGCAGAACTCCCTGTGGACATGGAGTGCGTGAGTGAGAAATATCCTTTTATTGTAAAGGCTACTAAGACTTTGAGATCATTTCTTAATGCAGCATAATCTATTTTATTTTAACTCACACATCAGAAACAGGTAAATCTGGTTGCTTTGATGGCCACAAAACATCAACAAATACATCAATATTTCTACCCCAGGCCCTAATACTGCCGCAGGAGCACGCTTTTTTGTTTGTTTTATGTCCTTGGTGGATCAGGTCTTGCTGTTCCCTTGGAGGGAATGCAGAGTAGGAGAATGAGTGCTGGACCTAGAGCCAAACTCTAAGACCCAACTCTCCCATTATTTAGCTTCATTATATTCAGCAAATCAATTAATCAATTGGAGCCTCAATCTTATTTGGTAAAACAGGAAGAGTAACACCAAAGTATCTGCTCAATGTATCCCAAATTGTTCTTAGGAAGCACCTTATAAAGCTTGATACTAATGTAGAAAATCATTTCTAGTTCTTATAACCTCATAGAAAGTCCTTACTTTCTATGCACCTATGAGATCCTCAGCCAACACCATTGATTGACTGACAGACATGACTGCAAAAGGCAAGACCAACCTCCTTAGAAGGTTAGTCTGTGAGTGGGAGGTCAAAGTTCTCAACTGGTATATCCCTAATTGAAAAACACTTCTCAGTCCAAAAGTGCCATGCAGAGAGAAGAGACTTGATGATAACATCCCTTGGTTTTTCAAAGGACGCATTTTCTTATGGCAAATAATACTACAATAGTCTTTTAACTGCATTGTCTCAGGGAGAAAAACTTAGATCCCACCATCAATGAACACAGAATTCTGATATAAAAGTACATAAATAAATGTATTTATTCCCAAGTTATATTCACAGATGCTTCATCATCTCACACAGTGGTTTGCAATAGCCTGAGCATCTTTCCCAGCCTAGAAATCCCAGGGCAAAGCAGGGTCAGGGTCAGTAAGAATGTCCTTCCTTACTATTCTTCCTCAAGTAGACCGCTTTTCAATCTTCCTTCCAGGAAATCTTACTGGACAGCATTATTTATTTATTTATTTATTTATTTATTTATTTCTCTTTCCTTCCTTCCTTCCTCTTTCCTTCTTTCCTTCTTTCCTTCAATTTTCAAGTATTCATTGAATGCCTATTATGTGCCACTGTTCTAGACACTGAGATATGGAATAGACAAGTTACTGCCCACATGGAGCTTACCTGTCTGAGGGGAACTGATGTTTCATGTGTCCATAGTTCCCTATGCATGTCTCCATCACAGTCCACAGTCTCTGTGGACTATATTCATAGGTTTAGAGTACAAGATCCTTGAAAATATGAAAGAAGCATCTCTCATTAGACTTTGTATCCCCGGCACCTTGCCTGCTGCCTGGAATATAGAAGGTTTGCAGTAAATGTTTATTTCAAATGAGTAAATATCATGAATTAGAAGACCTGGCTTTCATGTTGAGTCCCCCGCCCCACAAATGTGAGAAATAAAGGATTTAGTCACACGACACTATCAACATTAAGTGGTTTATTCTGAGAAATTTATAACAAGACAAGTTGTTTTAGGTGCTGCTTTGCATTTGTTGGCAGACATAGAGGAATCAGAGTTCGAATACATTCAGAAAGCTAACCACATTCTTCTAGCTAATAAGAATCGATATGAATCACTGCATATAATATGCATAAGAAAGTACTACATACTGAGAAATAATAACATGGCCAAGGGTAAGCCTGGGAATGACTATGGCCAGCTGAGTAACCTCTCTGCCTTCCTACAGCCTGTGGTTTATGAGTCTTGTGGAAATGTGCAAAGAGAAAAATGAAGCCAAAATGCATCTAATTCTCTTTCCATTTAAAGATATTTTCTTCTCCCACTTACCCCATTCCCAAGAGAGGGCTACTTAGATGTAATCTTTGAATATTGCAGGAGTTAGTATAACTATATGTGGACTGAAGAATGTGTTTTTTCTGTAAGACAATATTAGTTCAGGGGCTGAAGAACCAAAACGACAAGTGAGAAGTTCCCAAAGGACAAAGGAGCAGATCAAAGGGCAAGAAAAGGAATGTGGAGACAAATTTCTGAGGCTTATTATGTCCTTAACACTGTGTTTAACTACTAAAGGGGACAAGACAGTTTTATTTATCAAATCTATTTATTAGATACTGTTACAGACTGAATATGTATGTCCCTCAGAATGTCATATGTTGAAACCTAATCCCCAATGTAGGGACTTTGGTAGGTGATCAAGTCATGAGAGCAGAACCTTCATGACCGGGATTAGCGCCCTTATGAAAGAAATTCTGGGCCAGGCATGGTGGCTCACGCCTGTAATCCCAACACTTTGGGAGGTTGAGGCAGACAGATCACTTGAAGTCAGGAGTTCAAGTGAGACTGGCCAACATGGTGAAACCCGTCTCTACTAAAAACACAAAAAATTAGCTGGGTGTAGTGGTGGGCGCCTGTAGTCCCAGCTACTCGGGAGGCTGAGACAGGAGAATTGCTTGAACCCAGGAGGAGGTGGAGGTTGCAGTGAGCCGAGACTGTGCCACTGCACTCCAGCCTGGACAACAGAGCAAGACTCCATCTCAAAAAAAAAAAAAAAAAAAAAAAAAAGCCAGGTGTGGTGGCAGGCACCTATAATCCCATCTACTCAGGAGGCTGAGCCAGGAGAATTGCTTGAACCTGGAAGAAAAAGGTTGCAGTGAGCCGAGATCATGCCACTGCCCTCCAGCCTGGGTAACATAGTGAGACTCTGTCAAAAAGAAAAAAAAAAAGAAAGAAAGAAAGAAAGAAAAAAGAAAAGATATTCTGGAGAGCTCCCTTACCCCCTCCACTGTGTGAGGACCCAGCAAGAAGACAACTGTCTATGAACGAGGAACTGGGCCTTTACCAAACACTGACTCTACCAGCACTTTGATCTAGATCTTCCAGCTTCCAGAACTCTGAGAAATAAATTTCTGTTATTTTTAAGCCACTCAGTCTAGAGCAGTTTGTTATATCAGTCCAAAATGATCAAGACGGATACCTACTATTCATTTATTAAGTACCTGCTATGTGCTAGACACTATCCTAGCAGCTGGAGAGACATGGGCCCTGCCCCACTGTAACTTATATTCCAGTGAGGAAAACAGAAAATAAACAACTAAACCTGTAAATAAGGTGATTATAGATCATGATAAATGCCATGAAGGTGATATTAGAGGGCCATGCCCAAGAAAGTATCTGGGGAGGGGATAGTGCTAGCTGAGGTTTGGCTGTAAGAAAAGGTGTCCTGTGGAGCTAACATCTGAATCCAAGTCTGAACCATAAGAAGGAGCCCACTGTAAATGGCTTCAAGTGGAAGAACATTCTAGGAGGGTGGAAGAGCAAGGCCAAAACCCCTGAGGCAGGTGCAGGTTTGGCATGTTCACAGGACAGAAAGCAGGCCAGTGTCACTGGGAGGCAGTGATTAAAGGGTAGAGGAGGAGGGATCAGATCCAATAGAGCCTTGAGGATGAGGCAAGGATTTTAGATTTTCTTCTGGAGCTAGTAAAAGTCACTGGAGAGTCTTGGCAGAGTATTGACATTATCCGGAGCAAAGGACTAGTGAACGCCATACATGTTTTGCAGCCAGTCCTATCTCAGAGTATTCATGTCATTAGTTTCTGTTGAATATATTTTCAAATAAAAATCAAAGCACATGGATTGACAAGTTTACACGTGCTTCTAGGGTGACCAGGACAGAATATTTTAGATTAGAACTGTTTGGGGAAAACCTTGTCTCTAATTGTGCCTAGCTGTATGCATCCTGTCATGGGGCTGGATTCTTGGTTCTATATGATTTATAGCAAGTGTTTCCTAAGTGCTATTGAGTAGCAATTTCAAGGAGTTCCCAGAAGGGGTTGGGAGCAGATAAGGCAGCAGTGCTCATTAGCACAAGTTGTGCTCAGCATGAGCCCCATCTCTGTCACTGGGCCGCAATGAGATGGGTGTAAATGCCCAGCCCTTCCCACCCTCTTCTCACCTTTCCCACTATCACCGTTCCATTTGCACCTCACTGCTTCTCTCCACACCCTATTAGCACTATTCCATTTCCGGATTAATTGGAGGAAAGGTGTTAACAAAATTTCAGCTTTCTTCTCAGTAATAATCTAGGATTTTGATAACACTGATATTTCTCTTGCTTTCCTACCCCTCCCTATCCTCCTTCTTTCTCTCCCTTCTTCTTTCCCTCTCTCCATTCCTCCTTCTCTAGCAGAGGCTCACTCAGAACTCCAGAAAGTCTTATATTAAAAATGTTTAAAATCCCCTGTCATAGAGAAATTTAGTTTCTGAAAAGATCAATAATCAATTTATATGAATCATGAGATGAAGACTTATAAAAGCTTAAAAATATGTTATAAAAAGAGTTGTGATATGTTTTCTAGCCCAAAAACAGCAGGATTGCTACAATACCAGCTGTAACGTGGGAGCCACTTTGCCTTACGTTGTTATTTTATATCCATTGCTTCTTCCCCCAATTTATTGAAGACTTTTTTCATACCAGGCACAGTGCTAGATAACTGAGGGCGATATAAGATGGTAAAGACACACTTCCTGCCCTTTAGAAGTAAACATCCAATGAGGCGACAGGGAGCCCACAAGGGAGCACCGTGCAACAGAGTCTGTAACAAGGATATTAGAGAGGTAACACTGAGGAATGAGTGGGAGAGTAATTCCAACCCAGGCCTTGAGGAGGTCTAATAGAGGGAAAGGGATTTGAGAAAAGACCAGATGACTCCATCTCTAAATGCTTTAAGGCAGGCCCAGGCCTCTTTTCTCCATTAGCACTAAATCCACATTTTGGGTGGTAGAGGGCTGATTCTGGCTCTGTGGTATCAAGAGGTATGTGTTTGGATTTGGATGCAGTTTGCACATGCAGCAGGATTGTGTAGTGATTGTGAGTGGGCACTCTTGGGCCAGGCTGTCTGGATTGCAATCCTGCCTCCGTCACTTACTCTGTAAGTGAATTTTGACAAGTAACTTAACATTTATTTATTTTTTTATTTTTTATTTTTATTTTTTTGAGACTAGAATCTTGCTCTGTCGCCCAGGCTGGAGTGTAGTGGCGCTATCTTGGCTCACTGCAACCTCCACCTCCTGGGTTCAAGCGATTCTCTTGCCTCAGCCTCCCGAGTAGTTGGGACTACAGGCCCACCACGCCTGGCTAATTTTTGTATTTTTAGTACAGACAGGGTTTCACCATATTGGCCAGGCTGGTCTCGAACTCCGGACCTTGTGATCCACCCCCTTCAGCCTCCCAAAGTGCTGGGATTACAGGCGTGAGCCAACGCGCCCAGCCTAACTTAAGATTTCTACTCAGCTTTCTTGACTGTACATGGAGCAACGATATTGCCTACCTAGCAGGGTTACTGTGAGGAGTATGTAAAGCACTTAGAATAGTCCATGAAATCTTAATAAGCACTTAAGATGTTCATGATTGTTAATTCTAGCAAGCCCACTGTCAAAGCAGTATGTGAGAGTCAGCTTTGTTTAGTCCCGAAGGAATGGTGATTTTTTTCATCTTTACTCTTACACAGATATCCCTCCGCCCCCACCAACCCCATCCCGACAAAGGCATAGCCAAATATTTGCTCTCTAGCACTGGAAGGATAAGGAAAGCAACACGAACCAGCAGCTGACACCACCAGACACACTGTGGCTTCTCCCTGTACAGGCAACTACTAAAATCAGGGTCATTCAAGAGAATGCTGATCCATTTGGGAACCAAGCATTGTCTGTAATCCAGGCTGAAATGTAGGTGGGATGGTATTTTCACATGTATGTTAATGCCCTTTTGAGACAATCAAATACAATTTTATTTAATTCCTTCACAGTAGCCTTTAGCTACCATGGTTTCTTGATGGAGATGACAAATTTTATAGTATGATTATTTCTTACATTTTAAAAAAAAATTAAAGGATTGTCCTGCTCAAAATTATGTATTCCTCTGATTGAAAAAGTATTTGTTTCTACTTGAGAAGCATTTACCAAAAAAGAAAAGTATTTGTTAAGTGATTACTATATGGTAGGTGCCATGCTAGGCTTTAAGGACATAAGAGCGAATACAATACAGCCCCTCTATTAAAAGGTTTATAATTACGCAACTACAACACAGCATGCTGAGCTGCTGTGTAAGGACTAAGCGATGTTCCAAGGACACAGAAGAAGAGCGCCTAACCTGGGGCGGTTTCCCAATAAGTCTGTCTAACGTTGGGACCTCTGGCCCAGAGTAGTGTATCAATGCTAAGGGTTCTGTGAACCGTTGTTGAGGAAGGAGGGGTTTCTTTTCCCAGGCTGAGAAGAACCCTGACTCATACCTTCCCCTTGTGTCTCCCTCACTGCTCAATTGCCACCACTACTTGCCCCTCCTCAGAGCCTCACTACCCACCACTATGGCCCCTTAGACAGTTGAAGTAGGGCCCACAGGCCGAGTAGCACATCCCGCTTACAAGACCCAGGAGCAGCCCCTTTCTATCTAGTTCGGCCCTCACTGGCCCTCTCTTGGCTGCTGCTGGCCCTGCCTTCCTGCCTCTGAATCCTCCGTGTGCTCCTAACTCTCTCAGACAAGGACCTGTCCCTTGGCAGGCAGCTGCCACCTCCCTAAGCAAGGTCAGCCCTTTGTTCTCTTCCAGAGAACTAGGCCATCTTTCTTGCTGCCCCACACTGCAGGAACTGTAAGGAAGGGAGAGGGAGCTCCAAGCTAAGCCAAGAGAGTTAGGAGAGGAACATAATAAGTACAAGTTGTTAAAAAACAAAACAAAACAAAAAAAACACACAGTAACAAAAAATAAGTGTAGGGCACTCTGGGAATATAGAGGAGGAGCTGATAATTCTGACACTGTTTCAGAATTCGATTCAGGGCAGTTTTACTTCTAATCACTTGCTCTACTTTCCATGAGATACAGTGGTCAGCTAGGCTGGATGCTTCCATGTCACTTGACAGCAGTGTCCAGGTTTCTACAGAGCAGATATTTCTGTCACTGCTCTGCCGTACTGTGGGTCAATGTGTTTCAGGAGCCTGCCATCCTTTCTTTGATCAATCTCTTTTGTTTCACTCTTATTCTAGTTTAACTAAAAGGCAGTCTTAAACTGCTGGGTAATCTTGTAGAACCAGTCGTGTTATTTCAGAAAGAAAAACGACAACTCTGTGTGTGTGTGTGTGTGTGTGTGTGTGTGTGTGTGTGTGTGTGTGTCAGAGAGAGAGACAGCAAGAGAGAAGAGAAAAGAGAGAGAGAGAACTTTGTGTTGCTGAGGGAAAGGCAAAGAAAGCAAAACTTAAGGGAAAAGGAGATAAGCCCCCAAAATGTTTGGTTTCACTTGACTTTTTTTTTAATTGGGCTTTAGAGGAAAGGGTTCTACCCAAGGATGAGAAATGCACACCCAAAAAAAGGTCTGAAAAAGGATTATGCCCTATGACCTTAATTTTATTAACATTACGCTCTAATCTACCAATAAATTAAGAGATGAGAGGACATTTCAATAAATTATGGTCGTATGAAGTCCATGTCTTTTCCATAGCGGCAACTTTCTACAGGCTAAAAGAGCATTTTAAAATGCTTTCTGTTGGATGCATTTATTGGCAACCCTGCCTTGATATTGATGGATAGAGTGATTTAATTTCCTTCCTCTGCATTCATTCAAATCCTGCCTGGAAGGTGGGAGGAGTTATTTATATAAATGTGAGCTGGGAGGGAGACGGCTCCATGGCTTGCCATCTAATTTCATGCAGAATCCTGGCACCTCTTGCTGCTTCCCCACCATGTGTCTGATACCAGAGACACAAAATTATGAATAAATGAATAATTGGCTGAGCCTCTACAGGGCATGACACATGTTTTTCATGAATATTATAATTATTATTTTTTATTTGAGAGAAAATTAAACCTGAGTTCTGGCATTAATTTCCACTGTCTTCCTCTGGCAGCACAAATTATTTGTTTCTACAAATGCAGAAAAACGTAGCTCTCTGTGGTATGTTTTGCAAGCCTAATCCATTTTCTAGGGAAATCCTTGCTGTCTGCTGTTGTTACCATTCACTTGTATGGATTCCAATTGATAATTCCAGACTGTTCAGGTTTTATACCACTTTCTGTGTTCTCTGTTCTCCATGTTAGGTTAAAGTGTCATATGTTCAATACAGCCTTTCCTTTGCATTTTCTGCAACATCCAACACCATGCCTTGTATACAGTGATGCTCATTAAATGCTTATTAAATAGGTGAGAACTTCCTGGAATGTTAAGGTTGATCTTTCTACCAGCATTTGGAATTCTACACATTAACCACAGAAATCAAACATGTCAACAAATACTTCCCTCACTTAATAAATACATAGGTTTCGGCCGGGCGTGGTGGCTCATGCCTGTAATCCCAGCACTTTGGGAGGCCGAGGCAGGCAGATCATGAGGTCAGGAGATCAAGACCATCCTGGCTAACACAGTGAAACACCATCTGTACTAAAAATACAAAAAATTAGGCAGGCGTGGTGGCGGGCGCCTGTAGTCCCAGCTACTTGGGAGGCTGAGGCAGGAGAATGGCGTGAACCCAGGAGGCGGAGCTTGCAGTGGTGAGCCGAGATCGTTCCACTGCACTCCAGCCTGGGCGACAGAGTGAGACTCCATCTCAAAAAAATAAATACATACGTACATACATACATACATAGGTTTCTCCCCACGCTCTCCCTCACAGAGTAAGCTCCAGCTGCACTAGCCTTTCTGCTAGTTCTTAAGCACGCCAAACTTATTCCTGCCTGAGGTCAAGGCAATAAAAGAGTGATCGCAGCCGGGCACAGTGGCTCACACCTGTAATCCCAGCACTTTGAGAGGCCGGAGTGGGCAGATCACAAGGTCAGGAGTTCGAGACCAGCCTGGCCAAAGTGGTTAAACCTCATCTCTACTAAAAATACAAAAAAATTAGCTGGGCGTGGTGGTGTGTGCCTGTAATCCCAGCTACTCAGGAGGCTGAGGCAGGAGAATCACTTGTACCCGGGAGGCGGAAGTTTCAGTGAGCCAAGATTGTGCCACTGCACTCCAGCCTGGGGGACAGAGTGAAACTCTGTCCTAAAAAAAAAAAAAAAAAAAAAAAAAAAAAGCAGTGATCCCTTTCAACATGTTTTGCATTTATATGGGCAATATTGACAAATGTATCTCTTGAAAGAAGCACATCTCCTTTCTTGGAGGACATCGTCCTATATGGACAACCAGTCTAGTATTTTTTCTTCATTAATCTTTTTGCATTCACATTTACTTTGGAGAGCTAAAGAAAAATTTATTTTGACCCTTGTTAAAACAGTAAGAAAAACTTTATTCAGGACTACTGCATTTGATGTCAAGACAATTGTGAAAGATGAGAGAAATTGTGCTTAACTCTGAATACAACAAAGAGAGTTGAGGACTTATACCCAGCAAGGAGAGTGAAGGGTCAGTGAATAGTAAATTACTAAGAGGAGATAGGAAAAGTGGAGTGGTGTGATTCTTGCTAAAACAACAGGACTCTTGCTGAAGGCAGGCTAAGGACTCAAAGGTAAAGAATGAGGAACTTGATCAGAAAATGAAAGTGATAAGATACCAAGTGGGGATTCTCTCTAAACTGGCTTAACAGGATTCTTGCTGAAACTCCTCTTGCCTGGCCAAAGGCAGAGCCCAAGGATGAGACCTCATTGAAAAAACAGTGGCTGGGCGCAGTGGCTCACGCCTGTAATCCCAGCACTTTGGGAGGCCAAGATGTGCAGATCACGAGCTCAGGAGATCGAGACCACCCTGGCTAACATGGTGAAACTCCGTCGCTACTAAAAATACAAAAAATTAGCCAGGCGTGGTGGCGGGCGCCTGTAGTCCCAAGTACTCGGGAGGCTGAGGCAGGAGAATGGCGTGAACTCGGGAAGCGGAGCTTGCAGTGAGCCGAGATCGCGCCACTGCACTCACTCCAGCCTGGGCGACAGAGTGAGACTCCATCTCACCAAAAAAAGAAAAAAGAAAAAAGAGCTCAGGGGAGCCTGTCTGAAGTTTTATCAAGAAGAGAGTCTCTGTTAGGAATCACTCTCAGTCTTTTCCCAGACTATTGAGTATCATTTTCTGCCAAGACAATAGAACAGAGTGGTGTCTAGTGATTATTTTTAAGCAAGTCATTATTATGGATTAAATTATAAATGCCAAGCCTTGTTGTTGATGTATGCATAAATAAACTCACCCCTCCATACATTTCTGCGCACAGCCAGTATGCTTTCATAAAAAATGTTACATTTCTTTCATATTATTTCAACCTATTTCTAATATTCTTTATCCCAAATATAAATATAGCTTTTTATTCTTTCTTTAAATTTTTTGGCTTAAGGTTTCAAAAAATAGTTGATCTTTTCTCACATTTCATAAAATTAGATTGTCATAATTGAAGAACTTCTCTTCATAGCTGTAGTTTAGACTGAACACAGAAAATATCTTTACATTATTCTATGATGTAGAAAGTGTACACATTTATATTATTGGACAATTTAATGCCATTGTACAAATAAGTTTGACCAAAAGCAATGCATAAAGAGGCAATGTGTATTCTCGGCCATCCTCCCTTTCTGAGTCTCTGTATTCTGTTCCTTCCAGGATTCCACCCAATTCTTCCATTCTATGTCCAAATTACCCTTGATCTTCCCAAACTGCTTTTTCTTTAAAATCCTCTTCTAGATATCATGAAGACCAAAACACCTGAATAAAGAGATTTCCATGAGAGAATAGTGACTTACTGGTCTACATCTTATGAGACATTTTCATTCTATAGTAGTCTCAGGCAATGTGTAATAAATTGAAGTGAAAATTTTGAGCAGATGGAATCTTCCAGCAGCCCCTCAAATTACAGCTCATTGATTTGTAATTTTGACTCCATTTCTAACCCTGACCATAAATACTTTGCAAAACATATGAAGCCCATAAATGCACAATTTGACCATACCTCTATGAGCCAATGTCTATTTTTGCTCTTTATTCTTTCTTGTTTGTTTGTTTGTTTTGAGACAGAGTCTCACTCTGTCACCCAGGCTGGAGCGCAGTGGTGCAATCTCAGCTCAGTGCAACCTGCACCTCCTCATGCCTCAGCCTCCGGAGTAGCTGGGACTACAGGCATGCGCCACCACACCTGGCTAATTTTTGTATTTTTAGTAGAGATGGGGTTTCACCATGTCGACTAGTCTGGTCTCAAACTCCCGATCTCAAGTGATCTGCCTGCCTTGGCCTCCCAAAATGCCGGGATTACAGGTGTGAGCCACCACACCTGACCTTCTCTTTATTTTTTACCCTATTTTACTCCTCCTCTTCTGTGGAAGATTGTGACCTCCTTGTAGACAGGGTTCATGCTTCTTCATTTGTGTACATGTTTGTAGAATTTAATCAAATTACAAGTTTGGATAAGGCTGTTCACTTTTATTCAAAAGTAGAGAAAAGACAAAAAATCTAAAATTGATCTTTGGCTTACCATGATTTTTTTTTGGAATAGATACCTGTGAAGTGAGTTTTTAAATCATTATTTATTTCTTTTATTTTTTTCTGAAAATATCTTTAATATAAATATCTTAAAATTGATTGAATATCTGTTACCTTTAAAGTGATTTGACACAGATTTTTGGTAAAGTATTCTATAAGATAGAATGAAACAGGCCTCTAAGGCAACATGACAACTATGAGCCAACCATGACTTAAATCACTGTAAGACATAAAGAAACTTCATAATTTTCAATCATATTAGCCTCATTCTACATAACTCCTTTCAAGATTCTCAAGTTCAATCTTCTTCTGCAATGATCTCAAATAATTTTCAAATAATATTAGATTCTAAATAATTTCAAGCTCTCTGAAAAGTGTGAGAATAATGCTCTCATATTCCCATAGTACGCTTATATTCATCTAGATTCCCCATTGTTAATGTTTTACATTGATGTTATCAGCTACCTATCCTTCTCTCTCTTCTTCTTTCTCTTTCTCAATAAATAAATAGTTGATAGATGATAGATAGAGAGAGAGGCACATATCTGTGTGTGTATGTCCTGTCTCACAAATTTATTTTCTTTTTTTTTTTTTTTTTTTGAGACGGAGTTTCACTTTGTCACCCAGGCTGGAGTGCAATGGCATGATCTTGGCTCACTGCAACCTCTGCATTTCAAGAGCTTGAACTGCCTCAATCCTGGGTTCAGGAGATTCTCCTGCCTCAGCCTCCTGAGTAGCTAGGATTACAGGCAGGCACCACCACATCCGGCTAATTTTTGTATTTTTAGTAGAGATGGGGTTTCACCATGTTGGTCAGGCTGGTTTCGAGCTCCTGACCTCATGATCCGACCTCCTCGGCCTCCCAAACTGCTGGGATTACAGGCGTGAGCCGCTGCACCTGGCCAACCAAATTGACTTTCTAGTATGTGGTAGAAAGGCAATAAAGTTATAAACTAATTTTAAAAAGATAATTTCAGAAAGCTATTAAAGCTATAAATGGTTTAGGTCAAATAAACTGAGTGACATCTTAAGTTATATGTGCATGTGCTTGTGGGTCTGTATCAAATGTATCTCTTATTGACAAACATATCTCGTGAAGTATTCACATCTCCTTTCTTAGAGGATGTGGCACTGTCTGAACAACAGCCTGGTGTTCTTCAGAACAATCATTTTGAACCGGCATTTCCTTTGGAATCACTCTCAATCTTTTCTCAGCCTGTTCAACAAGACTGTGTATAAAAGTAGTAGAGTGGCACCTAATAGTTAGCTCTTGAGCAGATCATTCAACATGGTTTAAGTTGTGAATTTTGACTCAAAAATAGATGAAAATTAACTACTTGAGAATGTGTTACAGATATTATGGCTCTTTACCTCTAAGTAGTTCAGTGTATGGTTCCTAAGAACAAGACCATTCTCTTTTATATCCATAAAACAATTATTAAAATAAGGAAAATAACGTTGATACAATACTATTACTTAATATACAGACCTTATCCATTGGCATCTTTCTCTATTCTATCTTTTGTAGCAACAAAAAGGAAAAAGTCTGCAAATATTTGATTTTTACTTAATTTTTCATATATTTTAAGCTCTTTAAGTAACTTTTAAAACTTTTAAAACACATTAAAGTGTTTGTGGGCTGCCATGTATCAAACTTTAACATAGGTGTTACTTTTTTAAAATAGTTTAAAGTGACCTTAAAGTGTCTTCTGCTACCTTATTGAATTAAAAAGTATAACACATAATAGTATTCATTCATTTGTTCACCCATCTATTTAGCAGTACTAGTAGTGTTGGAGATCTATATAGCACTGAGACAGGATGAGACATTAACAGGATGAGATGACCTGTTAATAGACTGTGATCATTCTATAAATATTGCAGAATTCATAGAAATAAACCTAGAAGCTGAGGCTGATAAAATACTACAGCTGTCCATAATCATTCACTTAAAATCGAATCATCTTCATCAATTTCTGGATGATTTTGTTAAAATCAAACATTGTAACTTAGAAGTTGAAAAACATAGTTTCTATTTTAAAATATTTTAAATAAATACTGTTTTTCTCTTGTTATTGAGATTTTACATAAGATTTTCTATTAAAAAAAGATTCTGTTTCTAATAATGCTTAAAGATAACTTGTCTAGACCTGTGGTTTCTGGATGTTTTTGGTCACACACCACATATGTTTAAAAAAAATTTTATATCTCTAATGCATATGTGCTGGTTTATTTATAAAAGTATTACTAGTATACTAGTATTACATGTTTATTATAAAACTTACCAAAAATAAAATTTTAAGGAGCCAAATAAAAATAAATATAAATAAATTTTGAATGTTTTTTTTCACTTCAATGAATTATCTTGAACAATCCTTGGGGTTCTTGCACCATGCTTTCCTTGGGCCAGGACTTATCTTCAAGGCTGAACTATTTTATGTTTCATTATCTATTCCAGGTTATTGTTTTATGGTGGTGACTACTACTATAGTACATAGACCTGTTTAAAGGTCATATTTTTCTTGAGGAATGTGCATTCATTTTCATATTTGCATATACTCCTAGGTAAGGATCATTTTCCTGGGGTGTACTCATTTATTTCATATTTGTTTATAAATATTTGTGCACCACAGTGTGACTCTTACATTTTTTGCTTGTCATAAAGTTTTAGATAAGACACTTCAGGAAACATTTGTGCTAAAGGTAAAGAATAATGAATTAAAGAGGTGACTAAATGGAAAACTATTTTTACCGTAAACAATGCCACTCCCTCAGTCCTCCTAAAGGATGATTTCACACATTAAGAAGACGTAGATAACTCAGGAAAGAGTGTTTCTTTTAAATTAGTTGTAATTTCATGTTCATCGCAATATGTGACAAGGAAATAGGGAAAAAACAGCTAAAAGCTATATATGTGTCTGTCAAACACTTGTAAAATTGTTTAGGCCATAGCACTTGGAAGTTAACTAGATTATCAGCTGTCTGAGGCCAGTGTTGGTGCTCTTCATTTTTATGTGTCCTAATGTGCTTTTGTAGAAATAAGAGCTCAAATGTGTGTTAAATGAATGTTAGTGAGTTAATCAATGAATGAGACCTTACATCATTTTCCAACTTCAAAACATATAATTTCAGTCAGAAGTAACAACCTAAATGCTTAACACATAGAAGCTACCAGAAGTTTTATATTCTCTTTGAAGTCTCCATTTTCATGATGCTAAATCTGTCCCCCCAAGTAGTCTCATACATCCTTACTTTCCTCACCCTCCTTATATTAACGGTAAACTCAATTATGACAGTCTGACTTCTGACATTTTAAAACCGTTCGGTATATCAGGTGCTGTATTACAGTTTTCTTTACATTTCTACATTAGGTTCATTGAACTTCTTGCATATGTGGTTATAAGACTTTTATTAAATTTATAGATTTTTCATCCATTATGTCTTAAAATATACTTAAGAACTCCCCCCCACCAATTTATTAGGCCACTTAAGCTTGTCCCACAACTAACTGAGGCTTTGTTCATATTCTTTTTCAATCTTTTTTCTGTTTCATTTTGGAAAGTTTCTATTGCTGTGTCTTCAAGCTTACCAATCCCTTCTTCTCCAGTGTCTAATCAGCTGTTAATCCTGTCCCCTGCATTTTTTATTCTAGACATTGCAATTTTTTTTCTAGAAGTGACACGTGGGTTTTTTTTTTTTTTTGATATCTTATCTCTCCTTAGAATGTTCAGACTTTCTTCTACTTATTAAGTGTATGGAGCGTAGTTGTAATTACTGTTTTAATGCCCTTATCTACAAATTCTATCATCTATATCATTTCTGGTCTGTTTTCTATTTTTTTTATTATTTTCTCTGCATTATTGGTTTTATTTTCCTAAATCTTTGCATATCTGGGACTTTTTATTGAATTCCAAACATTGGGAATTGTACCTTGTTGGGTGCCAAATATTTTTATGCCTTCAAATATTTGGAGCTTTGTTAAAATTTTTAATTATGTTTCCAAGTAATTGAGTTACTTAAAACCAGTTTAATTCTTTTGAGACTTACATTAAACTTTGCTAGGTGGAACCAGAGCAGTTTACTCTAAAGCTGAGTTGTCAAACTACAGCCTAGAAGCTACCTACATTCAGCCTACAGTTTGTTTTCATGTCTTGAAGGCATCTCTAAGCACTGTGAAACACAGAGACAAAGCCAAAGCCGGGCCGGCCCCCTCTACTCCCAGAGCCTGCTAGCCTGCTAGCAGCCATGCCTTGCTGCTGTTCAGGATCTCCACTATAAGCTGGATCTCCACTATAAGCTGGGGACCTCCCTGTTGGCAACTGCCAAACAACATGCAGTAGAAATCTCAATCTGGGAGTGGGAAATTTAGCAAGCCAACTTCCCTTTAGATGCTTGTCTTCCCTGTTAAGACAGCCAGGCTCTCTGGGAGGAGAGAAAGGGGCACCGGGATCTAGGTGTCACTGGGCAGAGAACAAAATCGCCCAAGGTGACCACCCTTCCCCTCCCACACAATCTTAAGGGCAAGCCCTCCCCCTTAATTAAGGCTGGTTACTTTCATCCCAAGAACATTCCCAGATGACAATTAGGACAAGGCATTCCCAAAACAGGGACAGCCTGCCCCTCTAGGTCAAATGAGGAAGAGGGAGAAAAAGAGTTTTCTCTCTTGTTATGCAAGCACCTACAAAATAAATTTGCTTTTGCCTCTTAGACTATAAAGCCTAAAATTAGATAAGCTTTTATAGAAAAAATTTATGGACACTGATCTACGGTTAATTTTGCCTAAGTCATTCTGAATACTCTTGTCAGTACCCTGTATATGATAAGGCTTTGATACTCTGGCTGGTGGAAACAGGAACTATCCCCATTCCTGTGTGAACTCTGAGGACTATTCCCCGTGTTCTTTTCTGGTTGGTTTTATTCCCCCTGCCTCAGGAAGCTTCCTCCCATCCTTGTGCTGATCAGGACTCACCTGAAAACTCCAGGAAAACCCTGTAGAGCAAGCGATCGTTCTATGTAGGTCTCTCTTTTCCATACAGCACTCTGCTCTCTGGTACTCTGCCCTGAGAATTCTAGCCTCCTTGGCCTCTTTGAATTCTGAACTTGGGGAGATGTGTGGCCTCTCTTCAGGCAGGAAGCTGAGGTGCTGGTGACGCTCATCCCACTATTTCCTCCTCTCAAGGATCACTGTCCTGTGCTGCCTGTTGTCCAACATCTGAAAACTTTTGCTTCACATATTTGGTCTAGTTTTATACTCATTTAAGGCAGAAGAGTCACTAACTCAGTTCTTGTTACTCTTTGACACCTGCAAGTGGAATTCCTAACTTCTCACATTTCAAGAAACACAATATGCATGGTATTTAGAAAATTGTTGAGTTCAAAGGAGATGAATATATGATTTCAAAGGGAAATTTCTAACAGGTTTAAGTTCTATTGTCAAAAACGTAAAATATCCACGTTGAGATGCACAGAATTTTTGGAAGGCTTCCCAAAGGACCTGTAATAGGTCAATGCAAAAGTTAATCCTCTTTTTTAAGAAGGCTTTGCAAAGATGGTAGAGTTTTCATTTAATCTTAACATTTTACTATACATTGCATATCAACATTTTGAAGAAAATTAGGTAAAAGTTGTAGCATCTCATTTAGCCAATGTCCATGTACAAGATGATGAATGTATGTGCTTGGGCAAAAAGATGAAAAGCTTAGTTCCTGCTGCATGTATTAAAAAGTTAAGCGATCACATATTATACAAGAGAGAGTTTGGATAAAGTGGTTTCCAGTCATGATTTTGAGACAATCCAAAGTATAGCAAATTATGTCGGAGAGTTCTAAAATTCTTTCTCTCAGATTTGAAAAGTTAAAACTAATTTGATACTCAAAATTGATTTTCAGAAAGCAGAATAGCTCAATGAGCAAGCAATTAAACTGGGGGCTGATTTTATGGCTCCAGAAAGCCAGGGGTACAATTTTCCTGTTTCTGACTCTATTCAGTGAAATTTTTAATCTGTCTGTGATTTATGAAAATGGAAACCTATCTGCAAGAATAAAATACATTTAGCTCTAGTTTTATCCATAAGGAGGGCATTTTTCTGAAGAGTGTGCTTTTCTTACCTCTAAGATGATATCCTTTTGACAGATAAACACATCGAACTGCTTCTCAAGCTACCAGCGGAGTTCACTGTGACAGATTGCCAAGGGAAAAGAAAGCTTATTTTCTTCTTGTCATTAATAGTTAATTGTTATTGCAGTTTCTCAGATGGGAAACGTGGGTTAGGGAAATCATATCTATCCTTTCTAAAAGTGCTGCAGTATTATTAGAGGTGATCACATGGCAGAAAATAAACCTATTCCTTGAGGAATTAAATGGAGTGGGCATGTGGATTTTTCTCTCTCCCTCCTTTAAAGCACTTTCACGAGTAGTCCACCTGGGATAGTAAATCAGTGTTAATGTTTCATGAAAGCTCTCATGTTCTGGAACAATTTGCATTGTGGCACCTCTGAAACTTGCCCTTTTGGGTGTCACGTGGCTGCCCATGTTAATGATTCATGCATTACTGAGGTGCTTCTTTCACCCACTCTACTGCCAGTGTCTCTTGTGCAATTATATTGCCATTTACAACAGCATCTTATAGAACCGAGGACTCACTTTTCTAATCTAACACCTCTGAGATTTTGTAGCTTTCTAATTTTTTCTAATCTAAAAAAAGTGATCAGTAAGGATCAACTGATAGAAAAGCAGAATTGTAAACTGTTCTTGCATAGCAGAAAGACTGAGGGATCACTTTGACAATCCCTACCAATTGACCAATGCCTCTTTTAAGGAGTTCTTGATTAAAGTGAGCTGAAAAGCTAAAATAAGGTAATATTATAAAAACATGAAAATCTTTTTGTGACTATCAGTCAGTGCTAGATGACATCATTAAAATTTTGCTTAATTGGCTGCTTTGGAATCAGGCAAAGTCTGTACAAGAAAACACAATGAATAATGTTTTAGCAGTAGAATTGGGCCTTATGTCCACTGCTTAGAGCTATTTGACCTTGGGCCAGTCACTGACCTCTCTGCCCTTCATCTGTTGCTTCCTCATTGGTAGTGTGGACATGGCAATAGATCTTACTGCATCAGGGTGTGGGAACAATTTAATGAACTAGTACATGCAAAAGGTTCAATAAATGTTGACATTGTTAACAATCATAAATATCCAACACAACCTACATTTGCTTCAGATACCTGCGAATATACAATGAAAGTGGCCTGGAGACCAGCGTTGCCTGAGTTGATGGTCTAAGGTTTCTGCTGTGTTTTGCATGGAGGCCTGCCTCTACCTAATGGTGTTCACTTAGAAGCATTTATTTTAAGAGCTATAGCATTTGCTTTTGAACCTTTTGCAGGCAGTTTTTTCTCAGAAAACCGCCAAAGCATTCTTAAAAATGCATACTTTCACCTATTTAACCAGCCAGACTACAAATATCATGTCTGTCTTCATTTGCTTTTAAAGCTGCCCAAAGAATTTCACATTTGGGAGAATGTTTACTGAACTTCTGTCATAAAATCCACATAAAATGTAGATGAGAATGTCATATTTTGTAGGCACCTGTCAGTTCATAATAATGTCCCGTGAAATTATTATTCCAGAACAGTACCTTTCCTTGTTTGTTATGCATTGGTTGAGAAACTGCAGTGGCGTCCATCAAATGCAAACATCTAACATTTACTCTGAAGTTGCTCTTTTTTTTATCTTGTGTTTTTATTGATGTGAGGTTTTATTATAGGGAATCTACATCCTACGGTCCTCACTGTCTCCGAGAAATCACAAAGATACCTAAGGGCACACTGACTTTTTGTTAAACGCTTCACTGCACATTCACTAACATGCATTTCTCTTTAGGAGAATAATCAGTTAAATCAAATCCTAGTTAATGCTGACAGGATGTGCAGTCATAGAATTGCCATAGCGCATTTCAATTAGGTTTGCTTTTCTTACATATGAGGTCTTAAAGGTAATTGGCTCAGAGAGTTTTTGTCTTTCTGTGAAAGATAGACATATAATCATGCTATTTTGTTAAGGAGAAAGAAATAGGCATGGCACTGAGATTGCCATTGTCATTTAAAATTTTAGGTACATTTCTCACTAGAGCATTCTCATTCTAGTTGAGAAACTACTTAACTTCCAAACAATTTATCAGAGAAATGATTTCTCAGTAAGCACCTCCAGGCAACTTAAGGTTTTGGTATGATTTTCATATTTATTATACATAACAGTAACATCGTTGCATTAATTCAGTATTCAAGAAAGTGATCTTTTAAAACTGATAATCAAATAACTGTTAAAAGTTAAGTGATGACTCTCAAAGAGATTAATGCATTGACCTTTTGCCACTAATTTTTGCGTGTACCTAGAAAATGAGGGAAAAGACCTCTGTGAAAGTAATGATATTATGTCTACGTTCTTAAAGAATAAGTGTTTTTAATATTACTACCTAATGTTAGGAAATACACACTGAGCTGTTCTACCACTTGACATTTTATACCTGACTTCTGCAAAGCAAATTCTAGGGACTGTATGTGCTTTGAATCATCCCATTCAACTGCACCAATTGCTTATTAATTTTAGCTGAGGTTTTTTTGGGGACAGAGCTACCGAAAATAACTTCAGGGTAGCTCTTTAAGGCTTCACAAACCATCTGATGCTTACCTGGCGGTATTTATAAGGGAATAGTCCAAATGAGGAGTGATAAATAGTGAAACATGATGACGTCACTAGAAAAGTCCCACTGTATTTACATGACTGCTGGTGATTGTTTATTCTTTCCTTGTGGGATATCTTATGAAAACAAATTGCTAATATGCTTTCCATTTCGAAGTCCATCTAAATAAGGTGGAAACTGGCTCAGCAACATTCTGAGCTCACCTTTGTCCAAAATTAGATAATATATCAACAAGGGAAAAGTTAAAATCTAAAAGAAATGTTTCACAGAATATCGTTTTTAAAAGTACGACTTTACATAATGTTTATTTAGTGGTCATGTTTAGTTTCTCTCTCACACTTTTATTTGAATTGTTCGTATTGATAGATGAAACCATATTCAATCAATTTAGCATTTATTGAGGATCTGTATTCAAAGTTCATCAACAAAAAATAAATACAAAGATGAAGATACTTAAAACTTTCCATCAAGGAATTTAAAATATACTGAACTTAAATTTAGAATCCAGTGGTAAAAATGGACAAGTACATTGTATCTGGTGGGGTGGTGGGAGAAGATATTGGTTAGAAGATATAGAATTTAGTGAAGAGGAATAAGTTCAAGCTATCTACTGTACGACATAATGACTATAGTTCTTAATAATGCATATTTTTAAAAGATGGGCAAGTAGATTACATTTATTAGAAATGCATTCAGCAGCAAAAACCAACAAATTCAGTTAAGAGGCTAACACAATGAATAATTTTAACTTCTCACATATAAGAAATCTACACATGAGCAATCCTGAGTAGATGCAGTAGTTCAACAATGTCCCATCCCTTTACTTCTCCATCCTTTGCATTTGCCTTCTGGCTTTGTACTTTCTACCTCATGGTTGCAAAAGCTGCACATCTCTAAGCATCATGTCAGTGTTTAAGGAAGGAAGGGGAAAGAGACAAAGAGCTCCCTTCTACTGCCTGTCTTTTTTATAAGGAAACATAAGCTTTCCTATTAAGTTCCTTGCAGACATCTCAGAACTGTGCCATGTGACCACACCTAGCTGTAAGGAAGGCTGCAGAAATGAGTAGTTTTTCCAACCCTTCTGGCGGGAAATGGCAAGAGAAAAGAAGGGACTTGAGAATTTCTGTGGGGTCAATCTCCCTATACTATCTCCACATAGAACAACTAAATCAAACAGAAAGAAATCAGTTGTAGGACAGGAAAAGAGCAATTTCTGATTTAGAGTAAGAAGATCATGGAAGTAGCACTTAGGTTGGGGATTTTAGGATAAGTAAGATTTGTTAAAGGAATTGGGAACTACAATTCTGAACAGAATAAACAATGGAAAGGCAATAGGGGTAAAAATGGCACGGCATGTCTGAGGAAGAGGCAAATGGTAGTATGATATGTCTGGATCTAAGAGAATGTACAAGTGTGCTTATAAGGAAGTTATGTGCTCTGAATTTATAAAGAGATTTTGAGATTCATTCATAGAGGACCTTTATTGCTTTGACAAATGGTCTAACTTTCAGTAGTATCAGGGGAAACTGCCTCCGATAATTCAACGTGAGTCCTTTCCTATTTGCCCTAAGTGTTGGCCAGTCTGAGAAATAGAGGGAGAGAGTACAAAAGAGAGAAATTTTAAAGCTGGGTGTCCAAGGGAGACATCACATGTCAGCAGGTTCTGTGATGCCCCCTGAGCTGTAAAACCAGCAAGTTTTTATTAGCAATTTTCAGAGGGGAGGGAGTGTACAAATAGGGTGTGGGTCACAGAGATCACATGCTTTAAGGGCAACAAAAGATCACAAGGCAGATGAGCAGGGCAAGATCACAAGTTCAGGGCAACTAGAATCACTAATGAACTTCCATGTCCCACTGTGCACGCATTGTCATTGATAAACATCTTAAAAGAGTTCAAGAGCAGAGAACCAGTCTGACTAGAATTTGCCAGGCTGGAATTTCCTAATCCTAGCAAGCCTGGGGGTGCTGCAGGAGAGTAGGGTGTGTTTCATCCCTATCTACATCTGCATAAAAGCAGACACTCCCAGGGTGGCCATTTCAGAGGCCTCCCCTGGGAATGCATTCTTTTCCCAGGGCTGCTAATTATTAGTATTCCTTACTGGGGAAAGAATTCAGCAATACTTCTCTTACCCGTTTTCAGTAATAAGAGAAATATGGCTCTGTCCTGCCCAGCCCACAGGCAGCCAGACTTTAAGCTTATCTCCTTTGTTCCCTGAAAATCGCTGTTATCCTCTTCTTAAGGTGCCCAGATTTGATATTGTTTAAACAATTTGTGCAGTTAACGCAATCATCACAGAGTCCTGAGGTGACATACATCCTCAGCTTATGAAGATGATGGGATTAAGAGATTAAAGTAAAGACAGGCATAGGAAATCACAAGAGTATTGATTGGGGAAGTGATAAATGTCCATGAAATCTTCACAAATTATGTTCAGAGATTGCAGTAAAGACAGGCGTAAGAAATTATAAAAGTGTTAATTTGGGTAACTAATAAATGTCCATGAAATCTTCACAATTTATGTTCTTCTGCCATGGCTTCAGCCGGTCTGTAAGATACTTAAAACTTTCCATCAAGGAATTTAAAATATACTGAACTAAAATTTAGAATCCAGTGGTAAAAATGGACAAGTACATTGTATCTGGTGGGGTGGGGGGAGAAGATATTGGTTAGAAGATACAAAATTTCGTGAAGAGGAATAAGTTCAAGCTATCTATTGTATGACATGATGACTATAGTTCTTAATAATGCATTTTTTTAAAAGGTGGGCAAGTAGATTACATTTATTAGAAATGCATTCAGCAGCAAAAACCAACAAATTCAGTTAAGAGGATGATGCAATAAATAATTTTAACTTCTCACATATAAGAAGTCTACACATGAGCAGTCCTGAGTAGATGCAGTAGTTCAACAATGTCCCATCCCTTTACTTGTCTATCCTTTGCATGTGCCTTCTGGCTTTGTACTTTCTACTTCATGGTTGTAAAATAGCTGCACATCTCTAAGCATCATGTCAGTGTTTAAGGAAGGAAGGGGAAAGAGACAAAGAGTTCCCTTCTACTGCATGTCTTTCTTATAAGGAAACATAAGCTTTCCTATTAAGTTCCTTGCAGACATCTCAGAACTGTGCTATGTGACCACACCTAGCTGTAAGGAAGGCTGCAGAAATGAGTACTTAGTTTTTCCAACCCGTCTTGTGGGAAATGGCAAGAGAAAAGGAGGGACTTGAGAATTTCTGTGGGGTCAATCTCCCAGTACTATCCCCACATAGAACAACTAAATCAAACAGAAAGAAATCAGTTGTAGGACAGGAAAAGAGCAATTTCTGATTTAGAGTAAGATCATGGAAGTAGCACTTAGGTTGGGGATTTTGGGATAAGTAAGATTTGGTAAAGGAAATGGGAACTACGATTCCGAACAGAATAAACAATGGAAAGGCAATAGGAGTAAAAATGGCACGGCATGTCTGAGGAAGAGGCAAATGGTAGTATGATATGTCTGGATCTAAGAGAATGTACAAGTGTTTTTATAAGGAAGTTATGTGCTGTGAATTTACAAACAGATTTTGAGGTTCATTCATAGGGGACCTTTATTGCTTTGACAAATGGTTTAACTTTCAGTAGTTTCCCAGAACTTACAAAATCAAACTCAAACTCCATAGCCCAGCAATCAAGGTCCTTGATGATTTGGACCTAACCTGCATTACTTGTTCATTCTTTCCAACCACTATATCTTGTATATATGCCAATATCTATGGTCAAACTGCGTATCTTATCACCTACTAAGCCCAAACAAGACTTTCCTGTAGCCACACAATGTCTCCTACTGTGGGTTCTATTGAAATGCTGAAATGTTCTCTCTCTCTCTCTAGAGTCTGTCTAGAGTAATGACTCAGAGCCAGTTCAAGGTTGCTTTCATTTGAAATGATTTCCAAACAGGCAGCCAATATACATAGGATTTGGATGCAAGTGAATGGATCTAATGCTCTAGTTTCTCCCTGTTCCCTCCTGAAGACACATCTGTAATTGGTTGGTTGGTCAACTCAGACCTGTGAGGGTAAGAAATCTACCAGATCAATGCCTTTTGTACCACTTGGCCAGGGGGCAGACCACATCAGAACTTAAAGGTCTATATATTACATATAAAGAACTTTATGCTTTGGCACAATTATATTCCACATTCTGTTTCTGGCCAAGACCCACACATGCTATATGAAATACATATACATAATTTTTCTAATATTAGAACTATATATGTGTATATAGCCTAGTGATTAAGAGCATAGGCTCTGGAGTCAAACTGCCACAGTTTAAATTTCAACTCTACAACTTACAACCTATATAATCTTGAGCAATGCATCCGAATTTCCTCATCCTTAGAATGGGAATAATAATATTATCTACCACATTTGGTTGTTGCAAGGATTAAATGAGACAACTCATGTTTAATAAACTGCTAATGGAAATTCATATTTTACAACCTCCCTGAAGGGCAACTTGGCAAAATTATAAAAAGTCCCAGCCGAAACAGGAGGATCACTTGAGACCAGGAGTTTACAACCAGCCTGGGCAACATAGGCAGACTCTATCTCTGCACAAGTTTAAAAAGTAAAAAAGGAACCCACCATGGGGGTGCCCACTTGTAGTCCCAGCCACTTGGGAGGATGAGGTGGGAGGATCGCTTAAGCCCAGGAGCCCAGGATCATAGCTGACTCCAGGCTTCAGGGAGCTATGATCACACCACTCTACTCCAGCCTGGGCCACAGAATGAGATCCTGTCCCAAAAATAATAATAAATAATAAAATTATATATATACATATACATATATACATAAACTCCCTCAAAAATCATTGATTTTAACTAATTCTATAAATTCTAAGAAAGCACTGCAAGAAGTACAAAAAGAATGTTACAGGATAAAATAGAAACAGCATAAATGTCCATCAGTAAGATCTAATTAAATGTTTTAAAATATTTATACAATGCTAAGATAAACCTATACTTTTGGTTTAGAAAATGGCATCAAATATTAAGTGACAGCAAAAGAATAACATCATAGAAAATAAAAGGCTATTCCTGTGAAAGAAAAATTAATGATATAAAGGATATATACTATCTCGTTCGTGTGTGACAAAATAAGCATGGGGAGAGATACATAAAATATTATTTGCTATCTTTTAGTGAATATATGGACATGATCTTTATTTCTTTATACTGTTTTTTCAAATTTTCACAATGGGCAATCTGGAAACTAAAACTTTCTTTTTGTAGCAATGATCATCTTGAAATTTGAGTTTCTGCAAACACCAGTGCAGTGACCCGTGGTTTACAATATGTTCGCACGTTCATCAAGGCTGTCAACAGTCTGTCTTTGCATGTGAAGTCAGTGGGTAGTGTGGTGGAAGCCAGGAACCAGGAAACAGACTGATTCTAATCCCATTTCTGTCCTTAACTTCTTGTGTGGCCCTGAGCAAACTTTCTTAAATTGTATTGAGCCATATGGATATTGGTATAGTATTTCTATGAAGATGTAGGTAAGTTTACTTCTTATTTAATTAGCTAGCATCAGGAGTCTTCTTTTTTTTTTCTGTCACCCAGGCTGGAATGCAGTGGTGTGATCATGGCTTACTGCAGCTGCAGCATCAACCTCCCAGGCTCAAGTGATCCTCCCACCTCAGCCTCCCAAGTAGCTGGGACTACAGGTGTATATCACCATGGCTGCCTAATTTTTATATATTTTTTGGTAGAGACAGGGTTTTGCCATGTTGCCAAGGCTGGTCTCAAACTCCTGAGCTCAAGCAATCTACTCATATTGGCCTCCCAAAGTGCTGGGATCACAGGAGTGAGCCACTGCACCCGGCCCAGAGGTCTTCAAATGGTAAAGAAAATAGCCAGCTAACCAACCTAACTATAACAAGCATACAAGAAATAAAGACTCAAATTTAAAGTTAACCTTAACACACACACACACACACACACACACACACACACACACAGAGCCAGGAACAGGTGAAACAAGACAGGCATTGAGGGCAAAAAATTTAAGAAGACACTCACTCTCAGGGTCATGCAAACAGACTATCTTATTTGAATTCCATTTCTAAACCTCCAAAATGCCAAATGCTTGCACTCCCCTAACAGTAGGTATCTCCTTAAATTTTTCATCCTATGTGCCTCTTATCCTAGACCCGCCATCCACCTGAATACATAAATACACACACACCTGCACATGCATGTTACACACACCCATGCAGGCATATACACAAGCACACATGCATGCACACCTTAGTGGCAGTAAAGAAGATCAATTGCAAATAATTTCTGAGAATAATTTTCAATTCTGTTTCCTCATCAAATAGATACAAATGGCCTAATCATGCTTAGAAAGAAGAAACTGACCTGCCTTCTGATAGGTAGTAAAGAATGGTAGAGAATCTCTTTCCTCAGGCATTATATTTTCCTTATTTTACTTCTGCATGACTTCCTTCTGTTTCTCCATGGGCAGCATTGTCTCGGCATGATCCTAGAATTCTCATAGTAGAACCTATGGGAACTGTATGGGAAGCTACCAGAGCACCTATCCAGTGGTCCTGTGAGATCTTCCAACTGATCTTTTTACCACAAGCTTCAAGTTGTTACATGTTTGTGAAGTACTTGTTGGCCTCTTGTCTACTTGAATTTGCATACTGCTTCTTCTTGGTGTTTGCACTTAGATTTAGTATTCAACTCTGGACATATTGACTTGGTATTGACAAACCCAAAGAGTGCTTCTTTTGGTGATTGCCCTGCAATTTTATTTCTGTGATCTGCAGGTGCTAACTCCCTATACTCAGAACTGGCCCCTGGACTCTACTGGCCAGGAGAAGGTTTTAAAGAAATGAAATTCTGTAAAAATTTGAAATTTGGAATTACTGTATTATGCCCCCCGGAGCGCTTCAGAGATTAGGGGCACAATCCAGCAATTTGGCTCATGAGCTGATGGCAACTGCTTTAGTGACAAAATCTTCACATACCCTGAATCAAAAATTTATTTTTCTAAGATATGGTAAATATTCTTTCTAAATTTGGGTTTTGAAGATAAAATTAACAGATAGCCTTATCAAATTGGCTTCTATTCTATGTGGGCATGTAATATAAACCAAATCTACATGATAATATTTTGCCCAAATACTCATTCTCATGAGTTAAAGTAGGTAAATTTGACATATGTAGACCAAAAGTTACATTCACATTGACATTTCAGGTCTAACTTTTCTTAAATCAGCAATTTCCAAAGCACAAAATTGGAAGAAATTTTATTCAATACTGAAAGTAATTACTTATTTATAGTCTCACAGAATCATATATTGAAAAGCTACATCTCAAGATATAGACACCAATTATAAATGTTGGAAACAAAGAGAAAGAATCCCTGGCATAGACATCTGAAAACCTGGGTTGGAAGCCCAGGTCTTCCAATAGCTTCATGACCCCAGATGGGAAACTAACTTACTCTAAATTTCGTTAAATGCATTTGTAAATTTAGAGAGATAAGACAATATAATCTCTAAAAATCTCAGCACTTTAATGTGACTTATTTCTTAATTATTATCTAACAGATGTTTGCAAAAAGTGTAACAGTACATTTGGAGGTAAATAACAAAATCACTGCCCTGTCATTGCCATTATTATTTAAAGCCATTTTAATGGTTGTATCTTGTGCCTAATTCCCATGACCATATATTGATTAAAATCTGACAAAATATGACTTCTCCTACATAAGTCTTCTCAATATAATTTGCTCATCATTACCTGATAGAGTAAATGAGACAGTATTTCATCAATCATGAAAAGACATCTGTGAAAATATTACTCTTTACGAAGTTGTATTAATTTAACAAATTATGTTTGCAAAGACAGCTGTTTTAAGCTGGTGCTGCTTGTATTTTATAAATAATTCAATAATTCTTTTAGTATTATTTATTTTATTTCAATGAGAACGCCATATGATCTAACATTTTTTCTTTGCTATCAGGAAAAGGAGCTAAAGTAGAGGGTGACAATTATTTATACTGTACAATCATTCTGTTCAGCAATGTGAGCTAAAGACAAACTGATTCTTACAGGTTTCCAATAAATATTCTCTCAATTTTGTGGCCACAACCTACTCTGCGACACCCCTGCACCATCTGTTTTTACCCTCCTATCTATAGGATGAAAGCCAAAACCTTCTGTAAGGAGGATGTGGGAGAAAGAAGAGTTCAATCATAATATCTTAGGAAAAGCTGTTTATTCTGGATTGCCAGTAATATTAGATGGATATATTAGTCTGGATTTTCCAAAGAAACAAAACCAATGGGAGATAGAGAGGGAGGGAGGGAGATAGATAGCTATAGATAGATAGATAGATAGATTTATTATAAGGAGTGGCTCATGTGGTTATGGAGGTTGAGAAGTCCCAAGGTCTGCAGTCAGCTAGCTGGTGATCCAGGAGAACCAATAGTATAGTTCCAGTCTGAGTACAAAAGCCTGAAAACCAGGAGAGCTGATGATACAAGTTTAAGTTGTAATCCAAAGACATGAGAACCAAGAAAGGCAATGGTGTAAGTTCGAATCTGAATCCACGTACAAGAGCGGGAGAAAACCGGTGTACCTACTCAGTCAGGCAGAGAAAGTAAATTATTTCTTACTTGGGGGAGGGTGAGTCTTTTGTTGTTTTCAGGCTTTCAACAGATTGGAAGAAGCCAACCCACAATGGGGAGGCAATCTTATTTACTCATTTTTCAATTCAAATGTTAATGTCATCCAGAAACACCCTCACAGTCACACCCAGAATAATGTTTAACCAAATATCTGGGTGCCCCATATCTGGTACCCCATAGCCCAGCCAAGTTGATGCATAAAATTAACCATGACAATGGACTTTAAGAAGGTAGAGCCCAACTCCATCTGTTTCCAACTAAGAATGCTGAACAACAGATATATAAAGGAACTGCCTAGTTTGTACAATTAGAGGAAGATTCAGGGTCATAACCTAAATCTTTATATTTTATTATAGATCTTTTTACTCTATTTAACTCTCATTCTACTATGCTACAGTAGTTCTTTTTTAAAATTGTTATTAAAACTAATTTAAATATGATCTTCTCCATGTTAATGAATACCACACCATGTGTGGTGGGGTTTGTGGGGAGAAGGTGCATGACTTAATAGGCATGTGGCCTTAGGAAAAGTCATTAATACTTTTTTTTTTTTTTTTATGAGATGGAGTTTCGCTCTTGTCTCCCAGGCTGGAGTGCAATAGTGCGATCTCAGCTCACTACAACCTCCGCCACCCGGGTTCAAGCGATTCTCCTGCCTCAGCCTCCTGAATAGCTGAGATTACAGGCACGTGTCACCACACCCAGCTAATTTTTGTATTTTTAGTGGAGATGGGGTTTCACCATGTTGGCCAGACTGGACTTGAACTCCTGACCCCAGGTGATCCACCCACCTCCGCCTCCCACAGTGCTGGGATTACAGGCATGAGCCACCATGCCTGGCCTCATTAATACTTTTGAGCCTCAGTTACCTCATTAGTAAATGAAAAAAATACCTACTTTATGAGTTTGCTGTAAAGATTAATTGGGTCAATGTGTTAAGTGTATTTGCAGTGACTGGGACATAGCAAGTGCTACCTAAGTGTTAGCTCTTTTTATTATTCTTGATATGAAATTTTATATATTCAAGTTTCTGCTTATTGCTCCTCTTAGCCCCATCCTTTTTTGCCCTACTCACTGGCCTAATGTGTCAGCAGGTTCCTGTTTCTCTTTGATACCATATCGCATTTTGTAAGTACTCATGGACTTCCACATCAAGCTCTATAACCTCAGCACAAAAAAAAAAAAAGAGAGAGAACAGTATGTCTAAAATGCAGTGGGTAGGGGGGAAAGGGTTTAGACAGATTTCAAGAGACAGGAAGCGGCTTGATCATGCACTCCAGGTGTTTTAGTATGCCTATTCTTTGCTAGCTTTTGGTATTTTATTTTAGCGAAATAGCCAAACTAATGTATGTGCCCACATTCATTACAGTCTCAAGTGCCTTCCAACATTGGTTGCATATTCCCAGATGCTGGCTGCACCTCCAGGTAAATAGGTAGACTGAACATCAAAGAGACGAGAACTGTCTAGGCTGTCATGTATTTTAACCATATCTTTGTGACTATTGGCTTCTGAATCACCGTTATAATATGATTAATATTTATGATGAGCTGCTAATTAAAAGGGCTGGCTAAGAAGCCTACCTGCTGCTGCTCTCTCTGAGATTCTGCCCCATGACCTGCCCTGCTACCTGACAAAGTGTTTGTGGCATGGATTATTGTGGATGCTGTAAATTTAAAAAACGGGGCTTGGACTGGGCTTATTTTATAAAAACTCATCTCTTCTTTGAAATTATTTGCACATCAAACATTTAGAGTGCTCTTCTTTTTCTCATCACCAAAGATATTTTCTGATGTTTATTTCCAAGAAAGAATTGACTTTTTGTTACTTAATGGAAATTTCATAAGAAAACACACACATATCTATGTGAAAATATATGTCCATAGGGTAAAAAAAAATCAGTGCTGTAACATCTTTAATGACAAATATAAATATTACATCTGAACACTGCTTGTTAGAAGTACATATTAATTTCTCTCATGGCTCTTAATTTCTTTGAAATGTCATCTTGCCAAAGCTCAATACACAAAGATGAAGCTTTATTTTAGAGGAAATAAACATGCGATTCTGGGAGCTCAATTGAAAATTTTAACAACTGAGGAATCAAGAACAATATACTTAAGTAATTATGAAATAATACATTGAGGTATGTCTAGATTTAAGAGTGTTTAATATAGGTATATATAACATACATGTGGTATGTGTATATGGTATACATATCCAACACACATAGACATAGACTTATCCTACATGGCTAAATGGTGTACTTTAAGCTATAGGTACTCTGGACTGTTTTTTGAGGATAAAAATTAATGTGTACAGGTATGGTCAGGGAGGTAAGCGGATCTTAGACTTGTCTTTCTCTGATTGAGGGGTTTGGTGCCCTTAAAAGATTGCTTATGGAGCCCCTTATACTTCTTCTACCAAGGTCCTTAGACTACTTTTTGTTATTTACTATTTCTTTACACTTTTTATTATTTTCTGTTTGCCTGCATTTATTTATCCAACAAAAAATCTATTGAGCACCTAGTTATGTACCAGGGACTAGGATAGGTACTGGGTTAAACAAGGCAAAGTGGCTTACTCCTCAAAGAGCTAACATTGAGACAACAAATAAGCCCACACAAATGGGGTTATTAGAGACTATAATAAGGTCTATGTAAGATACATACCAGATACTGAGATAGAGAATGTGATGAGGGTGGGGGTGGGGTGCTTCTTTAGATAAAATGATTAGAGCAGCCTCCATGAAAATGAACATTTAAGTCAAGATCTGATGAATCAGAGTAAGCAGCATTTCAAGATTTGGCAGATCACATTATGAACAGAAGGAAGAGCCAGGACAAGGGTTTGCAAAACAGAAACTAGGCCAGTGTGGCTGGAGCACTGGAAAGAAAGACAAGGCCAGTGAAGTGAGCCAGAGACTTAGATATGCAGGGCTTTGTAAACCAGGGTGAGCTGTGGAGCCTGTTGTAAAAGCAGTAGGAAAAGACAACTTAAAGAGTTTCTGCACTGAATAGATAAAATAGATTTGATCTCGTGTATATTTTTAAAATATTTCTCTTGATGTTATATGAAGAATGGATTGGAAAGGGACAAGAATGGAAGCAGGGATGCTATAATAGTATCCCAAGACATAGATGACAGTAGTTGAATTTGGTGCTGACAGTGGAGACAGATAAAAATGGGAAGATTTTATTGTATATTTGGAAGCAGAACTAACATATCTGAGGATGGAGTGGGTGTGGTGAGGGAAGAACATGATTCACAGGTACTTCCCAGGTTTTTACTTGTATAATTGAATGATTAGTAGTTCCACTTACTAAAATGGGAATGTTAGAATAACAGGTTTAAAAATAATCAGTATCTCAATTTTGGGCACCTTGAATTTGAGATTCCTTTCAGACATCTCAATCGAGATATCAGGTAGTAGTTAAATATAAAAGTCTATGGAACTCAGAGGAAAGACTTTGGCTGAAGACAGAGACATTTGGAAAATATCAGCACATAGAATGTGTAAAACATGGGACTGAATAAAATTTCCTAGGGAAAGAGTATAAAAAATAGAAAGAGTAGAAATAGAAAGTGTCCAGGCAGGAACCCTAAGCATCATCAGCATTAAGAAGTTGAGTAGAAGAAGAGGAGCCAGTGAAGGAGATGAGAAAGAACACCACTGGCATTGGAGAAAACCCAGGAATATATGATGCCACAGAAGCTAAGAGAAGAAAGTTTCAAGAAGACAAGAGTACTCAATGGTGCCAAAATGATCCTGAGAACTAGATAAGGACACACAGTGTCTATTGGAAGTGGCAGTTTGGAGGTCATTGGTGAGACCATTGACATGATTGGTTTCTTTCCATTGTTGAGATAATGTCAGATGAGAGTGATTGAAGAGCAGAATAGAGATGATGATGAGGCAGAAACTGTAGATGATTTGCTTGAAAATACTTTATGTGGAAACAAAGAAATGGGCCAATGGGTAGAGAGAGATGTGGAATCTATGAAGGTTTAATTTTCAAGGTAGCTTATATATATTTATAAGCTTGTAGGAGTAACCCAGTAGTGAAGGAGAAACTGATGATGTAGAAAATGAAAAGGGAAGAAAATTCTTGAGAACACAGTTGGGGATGGGAGCATAATTGGAGGGATTTTGCCTTTGATAAGAGAAGAAAAGAGCTTTCACAGGACTGTGAGGGCAGAGATGAGGCCTTCATAACTACTGTATGCCCAACATTCCTTGGCATATATTAGAAACTCAAATATTTGTTGAGTGAATCAAGTAAACATTCATTTCAAGCCAGGGAAACAAAACAAGCAGTATATCCAAAGAGAGAGCTTGAAAGAGCAAAGCATAGTCAAAAGCAAAGAGAAGGATACGACTTATCCATACTCCTTCATCAGTTATTGCTTATTTTATAATGTGTTTAGACAATTTTTTTTAGACAGAGTCTCGCTCTGTCACCCAGGCTGGAGTACAGTGGTGCAGTCTCGGCTCACAGCAACCTCTGCCTCCTAGGTTCGAGGGATTCTCCTGCCTCAGCCTCCTGAGTAGTTGGGATTACAGGTGCACGCCACCATGCCCGGCTAATTTAGTGGAGACAGGGTTTCATCATGTTGGTCAGGCTGGTCTCGAACTCCTGACCTGATAATCCACCTGCCTCAGCCTCCCAAAGTGCTGGGATTACAGGCGTGAGCCACCATGCCCGGCCTTAGTTAAATTTTTTTTTTAAATCACACCGGATTTTTTTTTAATATACATATACAGCCACTGTGGCATTTCATTAATTTCCTTTTCATGGTTTACTTTATGTCTATTGTGATCCCCTAAAAACGTAAATTCTCAATGGAAGAGATGTGTTTTCTACCTTGGTAATTCATTTTGAGATACAGGGCAGGGATCTAATACATTTGTTGAGAAGCATGTAATTTTCCTTAGCTTCCATGATTATCTTTAGCACTGATAAAAGTACTGATTATGTTAAACCAAAACACATATTTATAAATCACATATCTATTTTGTCTTAAAGGTGCTAATTGGCACTTGGTAAGATTTAATTCACAGTCATAGAGTCAATGTTTGTTTACAAGGCTAGGGAAACTATAATGTTAAAAAAAAGTGTATATTCTGATGAGGGACACATAAACTCATTTTACTCACTTTTATTGTGCCTATGTCAGGGTAGTCAAATGAAATGGAAGACAGATTATCTGTTATTAAAAATCTGCTAAATACGGCCAGGCATGGCGGCTCATGCCTATAATCCCAGCACTTTGGGAGGCCAAGGCAGGTGGATCACCTGAGGTCAGGAGTTCAAGACCAGCCTGCCCAACATAGTGAAACCCCGTCTCTACTAAAAATATAAAGATTAGTCGGGCTTCATGGCAAGCACCTGTAGTCCCAGCTACTCAGCAGGCTGAGGCAGGAGAATCACTTGAACCCTGGAGGCAGAAGTTGCAGTGAACCGAGATCGCACCACTGCACTCCAGCCTGGGTCACAGGGCAAGACTCTGTGTCAAAAAAAAAAAAAAAAAAAAAAAAAAAATCTACTAAATACATTTTGAACATATAGGACCCAATAAAATGTTTCTGACAGTTTGTTATTTAGCAATTGCCTTCCTCAAAACACATGACAGTGAGCAGTACTCCAAAATCAACACCGTAAAGTATGCACATCAAATAAGATGCATTTGGTAACCAAACATATTTAAGATTTTTGTTTACTTTTTGTATCAAGAATGATTCTAACAATGACAATAAATCTTAAAATTTTGCCGCTGGCTTTGGGGTAAAGAGAATAATAAATTTTGAGGTACTCATATATTTCTCTAGTTTGTGATACAAATAGAAATGATATTTATACAAACTCTAATGGACTGTATAAATAATAAATGATGTGGCTATATTTTTATCATGGTAATAAAAAGTCAAAAATAATATACTCAGAAGAATTCTTATGAGTTAATAACAAACAGTGAATTTATTCTCACACATTCAGTGGATGAGGATTTATCTTATTTTAGAGTTACTATGAAATTTTCATTTGTGGCTTTCTGGAAAATCATCAAAGGTTGATCACATTTCTTATTATTCTGTTTTGAAGCTATTCCAACATCCTATTTACTTGAACTTGCTTGAGTCTTCAAAGAATATTACAGTTATATTTAGAAAGAATGTCACCTTAGGAAATAGGAGATGTAATTTAATATAAGTTGGGTGTGTAACAAAAGAGCCCCTGAGAAAGGGTCATTTGAACTGAGACCTTTTGAGAATTTTGAGAAATAGTAAGCCAGGTGAAAAATGACAAGGAGAATATGTTAGAGTATGTGGCATCCCAAAAGGATTTTAAAAAAATATATATTGCCTTAGCCATACTAGCATGGCAATAAGACTTGCATTATAACAGAGATTATAATCTCCCTACCCTCTCTCTTACCACACCTCTACACATCAACTATCACTAGATCTCTAGCCCTTCTCAACTGTCCCACCCTGAATCTCTAGAAGACATCCACTTGCTGTCATAAGAAGGGTTCTTTTAGTTTTGCATGACATATGCAGAAGTGAAGTTTTCTGCTCTTACTCTCCGGGTCACCTTCTATGGGGTCTCCTGTGCATAGGAAATTGCCATAGTTGTTGGCAGTGGTAGTATCTGCCTGTGGCTATGTCAAGGTTTCCAGGATTGATCCTGATGTCATTGATATCTGCACCAAGGACACTGTTCTCTGATTGCTGCTGGGGTTCAAGGTCCTGTGTCATTGAGGACCCATGTGTATTGATCAGCTGTCGGAGGCCCTCTGGGCTGAAGCTCTGCACTAAATACCACCAAAGGAAAGGGAGTCTTCTCTCGTGTCTTTTCCTCCATTTGTGTGTGTTCGTTAGTTATATATTTGCCCAAAATGTCGTAAAGGCTTCGTTTGGTTTTGTTTTATTTCAAGCTTCATTTCCCCAGAGTTCTGACACAAGTTTTGATCTACATTCCTCTTCCCTCCCCTCCATTTCACTCCAGTTTATTGTCCTTAAATTCCTCTTTTGAGACCTAGCCCTCATGTCACTTAGGACAAATTCCATTCCAAGAAGTTCTTTAGTCATTCATGTAAATAGACACATCACTATTTCTAGCTCATAGGCCTTCTGGTTATGCCAGATTTTCCTGAATCCCCAGGTGGACACACCATTATTTCTAGCAATGGCCATTCTCATATTAGGTCTGTATTTTTGGCAACTGAGTTAAGCAACAAACACCTTTTACAAAATATATTTATAATGTGATTACATGTACATTTTTAAAATTTCACATATGATTCCAGAATTTTCATCTGTTGTCTATGGGGGGGATTCTAGAGACAAAGTATCTGGCTTAACTAGCTACCATCTTCTCCCTCATTTCTTCAAACCTTGTTAAATAGTTCATTAGTAAAGAAATGTGGTTAGCTTGTGGTATATGAGGGAACTTCAAAAAGTTCATGGAAAATGGAATTAAAAGATAAAAATAAGAAATATAAACCTTATTTCTCAACATAAGCTCCATTTTGAGTTCAAGACACTTTGGTAGACAATGATACCAGCCATTTAGTCCATCCCTAAAGAACTGAGGGTCCTGGGAATTTAACTATGTCAATACAGTATTTTTTACATTATTAACTGAAGAAAAATTTGTGCCCTTGAAATATATTTTAAGATTAGGCAACCAAAATAAGTGAGAAGGAGCCAAATCAGAACTGTAAGTTGGATGCCTAATGATTTCCTATCAAACCTCTCACAAAATTACCCTCGTTTGATGGAAGAATGAGCAGGAACATTGTTGTGGTGAAGAAGGGCTCTCTGGTGAAGCTTTCCCAGGTGTTTTTCTAGTAATGCTTTGGCTAACTTTCTCACAACACTCTCATAATAGGTAGATGTCATTGTTCTCTGGCCCTCCAGAAAGTCAACAAACAAAATGTCTCGAGCATCCCAAAAGACTGTTGCCATGACTTTCACTCTTGACTGATCTACTT